>NW_003571058.2:879326-1066390 GCF_000001405.40 Homo sapiens | reverse complement strand
AAGCTTCAATCTTATCCTTTTAACCCTCAAACCTTTTAACCCAGTCCGACACCCAGCAGCGACTTAGACAATTGCATTAGAGCCTCTGGAAAACCAAGAGTTTAATCGTCCAGCCTTTACCCCTCTCGGGGGCCCAGAGATACTACCACTTCCTAACTTTCCCAGAAACTTGCCCCCAAGCCCTTGAAGTCCCAAGCCTGCTCCTCTGGGTCTCCAGGATCCCAAGCACCAGACTTGGGCTCTTCTTCAAAACCCAAAGGTCCAATTCCCCAGCCTCTCCCCTCCAATATCCAGGGCTCTGTCCTCCTAGGGAGCCCAGGCATGGTGCTTCCCAGGCCCTGGGAAAACAAACTGGCTTCTTCCAGCCTTTTGGGGATCCAGGGATCCAACCTCTCAGACTTTACCCACTCCCAGCCCCCTTCCTCCCTTAGGCCCAGGAATCCGGGTCTCCATTCCCAACTCCCTTAGCCCCAGAAGTCTGGGTCCCGCCCCCTCCCACCCTGCTCCTCCCTCTCTCCCAGCCCCGGCCCGCCCCATCACCATCTCACCCACCTGAGAAGAGCCAGGAAGACAGAAGGAAAAACACAGAAAAAAAGGGGGCGGAGTCAGCATCGGGAGCCCCCGGGACGCACCCCTCCTTGACCCCCTTGCCCTGCCCTGGGGCGGACACTCACCCATTGACAGCGACCTGGGGGGCGCTTTGCTGTAGGAAGTAAGACAGTCGGGTCAGGCGGGGCCAGGCGGACCGGCCGCGCCCCCGGACTTCCCAGCCTCGGCCCTGCTGTGTCGCTTGGGTCACCTGCCGGCGCCTCCGCTCGTGCTGTAGCTGTTTCTCAACTGGGTCCTCCCAGGCGCGGCTCTGCGGGTCAGTGACCGGCGGCTCCCAGCCGCTGAAGAACTCGGGTCTGTATGGGGGTCCCTCCTCCGGGGACAGCTCCAGCCTGCGGCCAGGGACAGGGCCAAGAGCTCAGGGATCCTGATACAGCCCCCAACTTCGTTCCTGCATTAACTTCACTAAGTTTTCCCCTAAAGCTCGCTGTATTCCAACGATTCTAGCCCCGCCACTTTTCACCAAGTCCTGCCGGTAGCTCTAAGCCCAACTCAACAGCAATTTATATTTCTAGACCGGGCACGGTGGCTCACGCCTGTAATCCCAGCATTTTGGGAGGCCAAGATGGGAGGATCGCTTGAGGCCAGGAGTTCCAGACCAGCCTGGGCAAAATATTGAGACCCCATCCATCTCTCTCTCTGGAAAAAAATTGCCTTATCCAGCCTCTAAATCTCACCTGATTCCAAATCAGGTTTTCCGTAAGGTCGGTTTCAGGTTCTGACCCTTTCCCTGCGGAACTGCCAGCCCGCAGTGCACAGACTCTGTCCCATCACCAAAGTTATAGACCAAACCTTCCAGAAGCCCCGCCCCTTCGCGTAGCCCCGCCCCTGCCCCGTAGCCCCTAGCCCCTCTATTCCTTTAAGCCCCCCTTTTCTTTCAATCCGATTGGTCTGGTGGTCTTAAATCTTTCCTTCACGTTAATTCCTGGCCTTTCCTCCAATTGAATCTTGGCATCTGTCCTAAGCCCCGCCCCAACACAACTAAGCCACGCCTCTAACCCCTCCCTACTCTCCTAGTCCTATTTTCCAATCATCATGCCACCCACCTCCCAGCGCCTTATGCTCCTCCAATCACCATGCCCCCTGCCTCCCAGCCCCGCCCCTCACCCGGGGCGGGTCCACGAGTCCCCCAGCGAGGTCCAGAGCTCGTTTTCACGTGGAGTGACGTTGTCCCGCAGCAGCGCCACGGCATCCGATGTCAGATGCGGCCGCCGCACACTGCTCGCGAACTCCGGCCCCCCCGACGTGTTCACAATCTGTCAGGGGAGCAGGAGGGGCAGGCTGTGCCGCCACACCTTCTACAAGTCGAACCCGATTCCTCCCGCTGCAGGGGGGCCCGAGGGCCTGGGGCGGGTCTCACCATCTGCAGAGGCCCGAAAAGGAAGTGCAACAGCTCCGGAGAGGAGGGGTCGGCGATGTTGCCGCGCAGCCGGGCCTGGGGCGTGGGGAGGGAGGTGGTTGGCGTGGGTGCGGGGACGGGACAGGTTCGTCGTGCCCGCGCCCCGGCCCAGGGGCGGGCGCGTCCTCACCAGCAGGCTGAAGGCGTACTTGATCTTCTGCAGCACGTCGGTGTACTCGGCCTCCGAGGGCGGCTTGGCCCGCAGCGTCAGCAAGCCCTCTGAGGGGAGCAGACGGGCGCGGCGATGGGGACGCGGGGCCAGCACCAGGCAGGCAGAGAGAGGTGGACACCCGGTTAAGATGGCGGTGAGGTCAGCCCTGGCAAGTGGCGGGAGGGGAGAGCCTGGGGAGAGCGGGGACATTTGGAAGAGATCGGGAGGGGGTTCAGATCCCACGCCAGGGTGCCCCTTACCCCCAGCCGCCCGGCGCCGGCTCCTGCGGCCGCGTTCCCGGTGCTCCAGCACCCTGGCCGCCTCCGCCGACTTCTGCAGCCTCGATACAAAGCTCTCTACGTCGTCGAACACGTGGTTCAGGATGTCCTAGGGGACAGAGGAGGGGGACGCTCAGGGCTCCCGAGTTCCAAAACCATCCCCGTCGAAGCCCTGAACCTGAGCACCTATACACTTCCCCAGATCAGGCCACGCCCCAAACACCTGGCCACGCCCCACAACCAAGCCCCGCCCCCGACCCAGCCCCTCTTCCATAACGCAGAAGTCTGACCAGAGAACGCCCGTCCCGCAGCCGGCCCCGCCCTTCCACGCCCTAGCCCCGCCTCCAGTCGCCTGGCCCTGCCCCCAGACCCCTTCCTTAGCGGCTCACCACTTCCCGCTCCGCCTGCAGAACCGCCAGGTCAGGACCCCGGGGACCCAGGTCCGGGGAGGCCGAGTCAGCGTTGCTCGAGGTCCCCACCGGCTCAGGCCTCTGCGCCTCCTCTGCCTCGGGAATGGGCTTCGCCTGGGGTCGTCCGCGGCCCGCGCCCCGCTCTACGGTGCTGATCACTGCGCGGACTGACGGGCGGCGCTGCAGGGGCGGGGTCTCAGCGGCGGGCGAGCGGTCGCGCTGCAACTCCTCCTGCGTGGCCCTGCGGAGGGCGACGGGGACACCAAGACTGGGTCCACTGAGGGGTCCAGGGAGGGGGAAATCCAGGGCGCAGAACGAGACACACAGGCTCAAAAGGCTCAAAGGGAGTGAACAAGTTCAACGAGGTAGGGAGAAATCCGATATACGGAGGGATAGCACCTCTCTAGAGTGAAACTGAGGGCCTGGACAGGGAACAGAGAAAAGAAGCAGAGTTCTGGAGAAGGGGTCAGCTCGTCTGGGAGGTACAGACAAGACTCGACTAGGGTGTGCTTGACTCCATGCAAAACTCTTGTTCTGTTCCAGGCTGGTGTTGTAGACTGAGGCACAAGGAGGGGAAACCGGCTTCCCAGAGACCCTGCCAACTTCTTCCCTCTCACCTGAGCGCCGCCGCCCTGCGCTCCCCGCGGCCCGAGCGGTAATTGTGCAGAGCCCCCTGGATGTCCTCTCGGATCAGCTCCGCCTGCCAATCACACCGTCAGGCCACGCCTCCCCACGCCGCACCCACTTCCTACCCGGGCCTCGCCCCTGGCCGATTTTTCAGCTCAGTCCCAGCCCACGTGCGGCTACCGTTCACACCTGTGAACCCACGCACGTCCACGCCCCGAACTCACCCCTCGCCCTACACCTGTCCCTGCCCTAAGCCACGACCCCGCCCATGGAGACCCAGTCCGGGTGGTTCCTCGCCCCCACCTCGTCCTGGCTGCTCCCCCAGATCCTTCTTGGCCATGTTCTGTTCATGTCCTCATCCCACCTTCATGTTCTATCTTGACCCTGGGTCCAATCTCAAACCCCACTGCCTTCCAGAACTTCCTTCCCAGGTCCCCTGCCCTTCCTTGCTCTGATCCCGCCTTAGCCCCAGGCCCCGCCCCACCTAGAGGCCCCACCCATTTCCGCCCCGGCTCCAGGCTCCGCCCAGTTCCAGCTCCACCCCCAGAGCCAGCCCATCTGCTCACCCCGAGGCGCAGGCCCTGGAAGAAGTGCACGTCGGGCTGCGCGCGCTCGGGTTCCTGGCACACGAGCAGCAGCAACGAGCGGCTCCTGCCGGGTGGCATCACCGCGTCACAGCGCACGATGGCGCCCAGTGGGTACGACTCCAGCTCCTCCTGCCGGGTGGGATGGCGGGGTAAACTGAGGCCCCGAAATGATGGTACTACTAAATGGCGACGGGAGTGTGGGCCAGCAGGTCAGGGCAACCTCAGGCGGTTAGGGGGTTAGGGATAACAGCCCTGTTTAATAGATGAGGCTATTAAGGCTCAAGAAGGGGGCTGGGGTCCCTCGCCAGAGTTCCCAGAGGAAGGACGTGCAGGAGCCAAGATTCACACCCAGACCCCCTGAAGTCCCTGCCCCAGACACTCCTCCCACCCACGTGCCCCCCGGCACCTTGGAGGCCGGGTCGAGCAGCGTGACATGGTCGGGAGACACTCGCAGCAGCATCTCCTGTGCCCAGACTCGGCCCTGGCTATCCATGACGGCCAACTTCCTGGAGGCATCCTCCACGGTATGCACGCCATCGTCCTCACCCAGGCAGAACGTCACCAGGTGCTGGTACGGACCATGGAGAAAGCAGTGAGGCCCAAGATGATGCCAGGTGGGCTCAGAATCCCCCAGAATAATCAGACTTTCAGCCTGAGACTAACCACACCTCCTCCAGGAAGCCTTCCTTGATCACCTGTTCCACAAATCAGCTCCTCCTCCCAGTGCCCTTTGTTTCCCTTTCATCAGAGTGACTAGCACCTGAGTCTGGCTTCTCACAGACTGGAGGCTCCTTGCGGGCAGGGAAGGAGTCTGGATTATAGCTCTCTCCTTCTAAATGCCTCCTCGGGTCTCCTGCCATGCCCCCTGCCACCTCCATTAGAGCACCAGGCGCCTCTGTGGATTCCTCTGGACCTTGTCTACCCCTTCCTCATGCAGGGCTGTGTCTTGATTTGCCTCCGTGGTCCCACTGTCCAGCACAACAGCTGGCCTGGAGGAAAGGCTGGCAGATTAAGTGGACCCGAGGCCCCTGGCTTCATATCCATGACTGAGGTGAGGCAACGGAGGTCCATTTTATGGATGGGCAAACTGACTTTCCACATGCTTCCTGCTTGGGGGCCTAGCTGCTTTCAAAAGCCCTATCTCCTGAGGCCACCTTTGCCCCAGAAGATGTCCTGGGGGAACACAGACCCCAGACTCACATTGACTGGGTACTGGGATACATCAGCCATAACAACTGTGGAGTAACGCTTCCTCTGCTCTGCCAGGGGAGAAAGAGAATGAGCCTGGGAGTCCAGGCCCAGCCCCTCCTCCATCAGACCCAGGAGTCCAGGCCCCCAGCCCCTCCTCCCTCAAACCTAGGAGTCCAGCCCCCCAGCCCCTCTTCCCTCTGACCCAGGAGTCCAGGCCCCCAGCCCCTCCTCCCTCAAACCCAGGAGTCCAGGCCCCCAGCCCCTCTTCCCTCTGACCCAGGAGTCCAGCCCCCCAGCCCCTCCTCCCTCTGACCCAGGAGTCCAGACCCCCAGCCCCTCTTCCCTCTGACCCAGGAGTCCAGGCCCCCAGCCCCTCTTCCCTCTGACCCAGGAGTCCAGGCCCCCAGCCCCTCTTCCCTCTGACCCAGGAGTCCAGCCCCCCAGCCCCTCTTCCCTCTGACTCAGGAGTCCAGACCCCCAGCCCCTCTTCCCTCTGACCCAGGAGTCCAGCCCCCCAGCCCCTCTTCCCTCTGACCCAGGAGTCCAGCCCCCCAGCCCCTCTTCCCTCTGACCCAGGAGTCCAGCCCCCCAGCCCCTCTTCCCTCTGACCCAGGAGTCCAGCCCCCCAGCCCCTCTTCCCTCTGACCCAGGAGTCCAGCCCCCCAGCCCCTCTTCCCTCTGACCCAGGAGTCCAGGCCCCCAGCACCTCTTCCCTCTGACTCAGGAGTCCAGGCCCCCAGCCCCTCCTCCCTCAAACCTAGGAGTCCAGCCCCCCAGCCCCTCTTCCCTCTGACCCAGGAGTCCAGACCCCCAGCACCTCTTCCCTCTGACTCAGGAGTCCAGACCCCCAGCCCCTCCTCCTCCAAGACCCTGGATGCCAGGTCCTGTTTCTTTAGACCCAGTTCTATGGGCCTGGGGCTCCCTTGCCCCCCGCTCACCATAGATAGACTTGGCGCTTGGCTTTGGGGCAGCTTCTGGGCTGGTGAAGAAAAGAGGAATGAGAGAGACTGTGGGACTGGGGGCAGATCCTGTGGAAATGCCAAGCAGGGCAGCAAGGGCTTCATGACGAAGGTAATGGGGAGCGATGGAAGGGTTATTATTATTATTATTATTATTATTATTATTATTATTATTGAGCAGGAGAGCTCAGAGCCAGAGCTGGACTTTAAGAAGACAGGTAGGCTGGGCGCGGTGGCTCACGCCTGTAATCCCAGCACTTTGGGAGGCAGAGGTGGGCGGATCACAAAGTCAAGAGATTGAGACCATCTTGGCCAACATGGTGAAACCCTGTCTCTACTAAAAATACAAAAATTAGCTGGGTGTGGTGGTGGGCGCCTGTAGTGCCAGCTACGTGGGAGGCTGAGGCAGGAGAATCACTTGAACCTGGGAGGCGGAGGTTGCAGTGAGTCCAGATCGTGCCACTGCACTCCAGCCTGGCAGCAGAGTGAGACTCCATCTCAAAAAAAAAAAAAAAAAAAAAAAGACAGGTCAGGTCAGGCGGTGGTGCTGGGTGGTAGGGGAGTGTGATCTCTACCATGGCATAGTCCGGGATTCAAACCCTCTGTCTACTGCCTCCTTGCCATAAGACCTTCAGAAGAGGATTTAATCTCTCCTGCCTCAGTTTTTCTTTCTGTAACGTAGTAACCATCTGGTAGGGCTGTTGGGCAAATTCAGTCAGATGATGCAGGTGAAGTATTTTGAAGCCTCAATAACTGTTATTATCATTCTTAAGATGCTGCCAGGGCTTAGCACACAGAAGTTGCTCAATAAATGGGAATGGTTATAATAGCATTAGTGGTATCTGAAGTAGACAGGGAATTATCTGCTTCCCCTCCCACTCCCATGGGCCAGGTGCTTCCCAACCACATCCTTCTCTGTCTCCTCCCGTCCTCAATTTCTTCCTAAGATTACCTTTCCTAAGAATTCTTGAATCCCCACTTGCATGCACATAACAGAAGCTCAGCGATCAGGTGGCGTCAGGGGAACTGAAAAACCCTTTTTCCCAAACTCCTGTTCCTCATCCTGCTCCTGCCAGTCTGATGTCACCACAATTTGATTACCTCTGGGCCAGAGAGCTCACTACCTACCATGCAGGTATTTTGACTCATCTCTCATTGTTTTTCTCCCTGCTTACTCTGGGGGACTTGAGTCTTCATTATAAACAGCCCTGATTTTCTAGCAAAGGGTTAATATTTACTAACAACATAACAATCGCAATAGCGACTCCTATGAGTTGAGCACCTGCTGTCAGTGAGGTGGTCAGCTAAGTCCTGTAATGCACTATCCCTCCAATTTTTCAACATTGTCCCTGTGTCACAGAGGAGGGGCTGAGGCTCCAGGAGGTGATGTCCTCTGACCAGGGTTACATCAGCACTGAGTGTGAGGGCCGAACTGGAGCTCAGGCCTGTCTGCTCTGCAGTGGGGGCCCCTAACCCCAGGCTGGGCAGGGAGGAGAGAGGCTCTGGCTTCCTCCTGAGTGTCGGGGCTTGGGCCAGAGTCTGGGCCGCCGCAAACAGTCTGGGCTGCCGCAAGCGGGTGTGGGTGAGGAGGCGAGGGGAGGCGGGAGGCGTGCTGGGGCTGGGACCTGGGGTCCGGGGGCGCTTACCCTGTGGCGGTGCTCATGGTGCTGAGTGGTAGCTCCTGCCCACCTGGAGGTGCCCTGGGAGCCAGCAAACATGTGAAGGCCTGGCCAGTAGGAGCCTCTAATTCCTACCCCAGCCTCCTCCCTCAATGCAGGCATCCAGGCCCCAGCCCCTCCTCCCTCAGGCCCAGGAGTCCAGGCCCCCAGCCCCTCCTCCCTCAGACCCAGAAGTCCAGGCCCCAGTCCCTCTTCCCTAGACCCAGGAGTCCAGACCCCAGTCCCCTCCTCCCTCAGACCCAGGAGTCCAGACCCCAGTCCACTCCTCCCTCAGACCCAGGAGTCCAGGCCCCATCTCCTCCTCCCTCAGACCCAGGAGTCCAGGCCCTCAGCCCCTCCTCCCTCAGACCTAGGAGTCCAGGACCCCAGGCCCTCCTCCCTCAGACCCGGGAGTTCAGACCCCCAGCCCGTCCTCCCTGAGACCCTGGAGTCCAGACCCCAGTCCCCCCGTCCCTCAGACCCATTGGTCAAGCCCCGGCCCCCTTCTCTCCTGACCCGGATCTCCTTACCTGCCTGCTCAGGCTCTGCCCTGCTCTCCGCTGTCCTTTCCCTTCCAGGCTGCCGGCCCCTCCTCCTGCTCCCTCCCAGGGCCGTCCTGCCTCCGCCTCCGCCTCCGCATACCTGAGCATTCACCTGGCACAGCCTGGCTGGAGTGACCCCGGGGCGGGGCTGGCAGACAGATCTAGGAGGGGCTGGGGGGACTGCAGGGGAGCTGGGAAACTAACTGTCTGCCTTGTAGCAACAGAATAATAGCAACGAACAGTACATTTGATGTCACACTTGTTCACAGGTCAGAGTTGAAAGCTCTGTCTTTAAAACTCCCTTGAAATTCTAACAGCGGGAGGAAGTTCGAGGTTTGATTCCTGCTTGACAGATGAGGAAGCTGAAGGCCAGAGAGGTTGAGCAACTTGTCCATTTCAGCACTTGGTTAAGGAGGGATTTGAACCCGGGGCTGACCTTCTGTCTCCAGGGCCAGTGGCAGCCCGTCTTCTATGGACACCTCCTGCCCACGATCACTGCCTCTGCTCATGCCCTTACCTCCCCACCCATCCCGTTCCACCTTCCTTTGGAAATTTCCCTCAATGACCCCCCTATTCTGACAAAAGCTAAGATTTAGCTCGATAATGCCTGGCCCAGCTCCAAGGACATCACAAAAATGAACAGGCTTTCCAGGCATAAACACCTTTCTGAAATCACTTTTCCAGAACTCCCTCCATGCTGTAGAGGTTACTAGCAAAGCTTTCCACATCATTTCTCCCCAGAGCCCCGTGAGGGGAGTGTGTCTGGGTGGGAGGCTGTCTTCGTCTCACAGATGAGAAAATGAGGAAGAGAAGGGTTAAGAAACTTGCATGGGTACAGTGGCTCACATCTCTAATCCCAGCACTTTGGGAGGCCGAGGCAGGCAGATCACCTGAGGACAGGAGTTCGAGACCAGCCCAGCCAACATGGTGAAACCCCATCTGTACTAAAAACACAAAAATTATCCAGGTGTGGTGGCGGGTGCCTGTAATCCCAGCTACTCAGGAGGCTGAGGCAGGAAAATCACTTGAACCCGGGAGGCAGAGGTTGCGGCGAGCCGATAATTGCACCACTGCACTCCAGCCTAGGCAAGAGAGCGAGGCTCCATCTCAAAAAACAGAAAACAGGCCGGGCGCAGTGGCTCACACCTGTAATCCCAGCACTTTGGGAGGCCGAGGCGGGTGGAACACGAGGTCAGGAGATCGAGACCATCCTGGCTAACACGGTGAAACCCCGTCTCTACTAAAAATACAAACAATTAGCCGGGCGTGGTGGTGGGCACCTGTAGTCCCAGCTACTCGGGAGGCTGAGGCAGGAGAATGGCGTGAACCTGGAAGGCGGAGCTTGCAGTGAGCCGAGATTGCGCCATTGCACTCCAGCCTGGGCGACAGAGCGAGACTCTGTCTCAAAAAAGAAGAAAAAAAAAAAGCTGACATCTTGCAAGGCCTTAAGGGACGTGATTCTGATCTCATCTCTTCCTTCTGTGTGTCAGCACACTGGCCTCCTTGCTGCTCTTGGAACATCCAGACCCGGTCCTGCCTCAGGGCCTTTGCACTTGCTGTTTCCTCTGCCTGGAATGCTCTTCTACCAGATACCCTCATGCCTCACTTTCTTGCCTCCTTTGATCTTTGCCTGAATGTCACCTTCTCAGAGGACTGGCTGACCACCCTGTTTCAAATGGCGGCATCCCTTACTCGACTTCTTTTGTTTTTTTTGAGACAGAGTTTCACTCTTGTTGCCCAGGCTGGAGTGCAGTGGCGCAATCTTGGCTCACCGCAACCTCCGCCCCCCCAGGTTCAAGTGATTCTCCTGCCTCAGCCTCCTGAGTAGCTGGGACTACAGGCGCGCGCCACCACGCCCGGCTAATTTTGTACTTTTAGTAGAGACAGCATTTCACCATGTTGGCCAGGATGGTCTCGATCTCTTGACCTCGTGATCTGCCCGCCTCGGCCTCCCAAAGTGCTGGGATTATGGGTGTGAGCCACCGCCCCCGGCAACCCAACTTCTTTGTAGTCTCTTTCCTCTCTCCCTACTTCATTTTTGTGTGGAGAACTTTTCACCTTCTTACCCACTGTGTTCCTGGTTCATTTTGTCTGTGTCTCCTCCGTTAGAATGCAAGCTTCACAGGCTGGGCACGGTGGCACATGCCTGTAATCCCAGCACTTTGGGAGGCTGAGGCGGATTGATCACTTGAGGTTGGGAGTTCGAGACCAACCTGGCCAACATGGTGAAAGCACGTCTCTACTGAAAATATGAAAATTAGCCGGGGGTGGTGGTGTACACCTGTAATCCCAGCTTCTTGGGAGGCTGAGACAAGAAAATTGCTTGAACCCCGGAGGTGGAGGTTGCAGTCAGCCGAGATCACACCATGTCACCAACATGATAAAACCCCATTTCTACTAAAAAAAAAAAAATTAGCCAGAGTTGGTGGTGCACACCTGTAATCCCAGCTTCTTGGGAGACCAAGGCAAGAGAGTCACTTGAACCTGGGAGGTGGAGGTTGCAGTGAACCGAGATGATCGTGCCACTGCACTCCAGCCTGGGTGACAGAGCGAGACTCCATCTTAAAAAAAAAAAAAGCGGCCGGGTGTGGTGGCTCACGCCTGTAATCCCAGCACTTTGGGAGGCCGAGGCGTGTGGATCACGAGGTCAGGAGATTGAGACCATCCTGGCTAACATGGTGAAACCCCGTCTCTACTAAAAATACAAAACAATTAACCAGGCTTGGTGGTGGGTGCCTGTAGTCCCACCTACTCCGGAGGCTGAGGCAGGAGAATGGCGTGAACCCGGGAGGTGGAGATTGCAGTGAGCCAAGATTGCTCCACTGCACTCCAGCCTGGGTGACAGAGCAAGACTCCATCTCAAAAAAAAAAAAAAAAAAATGCAAGCTTCACAAGGGCAAAGATTTTTGTGTGATCAGTCCTCCACTTAATCTGCAGCACACAGAATTGGGTCTAGCACATAGAAAGTGTTGGAGAGATACTTGTTGAGTAAACGAGCTTTTGGCATTTGGTGCATTCATGTGCATTACTGCTTTGTTGCTTCATTCAAGATATGTTGCCTCCACGGTCTATGCTGAGTGAGCCTGGAAATCAGAGAAGGCACATTTTTGCCTTCGATTGATGGGGATGAAGGAACAGAGAGAAAGAGATATAGTGTGGTCTGATGGCAGAGAGCCTCGGGCAGGTGTGGGTCTGAATCCTGGCTTTGCCACTTGATAATTTTGGAGATACTTATTGTGTGCTTATATCTTCTCAGTACATCATAAATGTGTGTGTGTGTGTGTGTGTGTGTGTATGCATAATCCTCACCACATCCTATGGAATGGGTCCTATTATCCCCATTTTTTTTCTTAATTGAGACAAGGTCTAGTTCTGTGGCCCAGGCTAGAATGCAGTGTCATAATCACAGCTCACTGCAGTCTCGACCTACTGGGGTGATCCTCCCATCTCAGACTATATATAAATATATATACACATATATATAGTAGAGTCTCCTTATGTTGCCCAGGCTGGTCTCCAACTCCTGGGCTCATGTGATACTCCTGCCTTATCCTCCCGAAGTGCTGGGATGACAGGCATGAGCCACCCACCACACCCAGCTTATTGGGAGGATAAAGTCAGGTTATAGAGAGTTGTCAATACAGTACCTGGCAAAGAGGAAACGCAAGGCTGGTGTTAGCAATGGCGAGGACGATGGCCTTTCTTCCCATGCGTGCTGCAAGGGAGGACACGAGGGGCTCTGCCAAGGCCAGGAGAGGCTGCTGAGGGTCAGGACAGGCTGCCTGGAGGAGGAGGACAGGCTGCCTGGAGGAGGAGGGCAGGCCAGGAATCACCTTGAAGGATGAGTTTGACAGCCAGTGTCAATCCTAGAAGATAGGGGTGTTCTGGGCCCTGCAACTGCCTGAGTGAAGGATGGGGGCTGCAGGGGTGGCCAGCGGGGCTAGACTGTGAGCTCCTGGCTACCCAGCAGGTGGTCCTGGTGCGTGTAGCAGCGGGTGGGGGAGGTAGGGGTGGAAGGAGGGCCCTTACGCTTCTCTTTCTTTGGCTTCTGCAATTCTGTGTTCTCATCACATTCATGCCACAAGTATTTTCTGTGCTTGACTGTACCTGAGTTGGGGTTTGAGGGAAGGAGCAGACCCCTTGCCCCATTGACAGGAGAAAACAGAGGCTCAGAGAGGGAAGTCAGTAGCCTAAGGTTACAGTGGCCCTGGGCTGTGACACAGATGCAGATCTGACTGGGCCTGGGCTCATTTCTTCATGAACAAGGGGAGAAAACTATCTCATAGAAGCATTTGGTATGGGTCCGAGGCCTTTGGGTCTGAGGGAGGAGGGGCTGGGGTCTGGACTCTTGGGTCTGAGGGAGGAGGGGCTGGGGGCCTGGACTCCTGGGTCTGAGGGAGGAGGGGCTATCTCATTGCTTTGGGGGTGGCGCAGGCGGCCCTCCAGGCCATGGTCTGGAGCAGCAGGTGAGACCGAAACCCGAGCCTCCACCCAAGTCCCAAGTCCCAGGGCCCAGGGCCTCTTTCCTCCTTCTCTGGCCGCAAAGGAGGCCCCTCCCTCTCTGTAACCCACAGCAAATGCCTCCCAAATACCAGTCAAAGTGTCCACCCCTGCACAGTCTGACTCAGCCAGTCCAGGGCGGAGGCAGTAAAGCCCTGTCTTGGCAAGTCACCAGGGAAATCCATCACCGAAGCACCTCTCTCCCCCCTCGGCCTGGCTATTCTGTCATTGGCACCTGTTCTTGGGTGAGTGACAGGGCTCTGTGGTCAGGGTTTGCCTCTGTCCCAGTCTGGGATAGCTGTCTTGGGGGGCTGGCCTTTCTTCCCTCTCACCTGGGATGTCCCAGGAACGGAACAGAATTCTCCCCTGGGGCTTGAAGAGCTCACCCCCCATCTCCTCCGTTATCCCCACCCCCACACCACCCAACACACATCCTCTAGTCTGTAGGATTTGCTGACAAATTCCTATGACAGCCGGATGTGGTGCCTCACACCTGTTACCCAGCATTTTGGGAGGCCATCACTTGAGATCAGGAGTTCGAGACCAGCTTAGCCAACATGGTGAAACCCCATCTCTACAAAAGTAGCTGGGTGTGGTGGCGTGCGCTTGTAGTCCCAGCTACTAGGGAGACTGAGGCAGGAGAATCACTTGAACCCGGGAGGCAGAGGTTGCAGCGAGCCATTGCGCCATGCACTCCAGGCTGGGTGACTGACTGAGATTCTGACTCAAAAAAAAAAAAAAATCCTATGACAAGGAGAAAGGTCAGATTCCCTGGCAATGGGAGCTGAGGCATGTTCTTGAGAAGGAGGGAGGTTATAAATTAGATGGGGCTGGGTCTCAGAGAGATATAGCTACTTACATATTAAATAATGAGGCTGAGTGTGGCGTCTCACACCTATAGTCCCAGTACTTTGGGAAGCAGAGGCAGGAGGATCCCTTGAGCCTAGGAGTTTGAAACCAGCCTGGGCAACATAGGGAGATTCCATCCCTACCAAAAAAAAAATTAAAAATTAGCCAGGCATAGTGGCCTGCATCTGTGGTCCTAGCTGCTTGGGAGGCTGAGGTGGGAGGATTGCTTGAACCTGGGAGGTCAAGGTACAGTGAGCCACGATTGCACCACTGCACTCCAGCCTGGGTGACAGAGCAAGACCTTGTCTCAAAAAAAGTAATTAATTTATTTATTCAATACGTAGCTCCTGAGACAAAATGTGTGCCGTACTCTAGACCCTGCTGGTGTGCACAATTCATGGGGGATATGTGCGCTAATGGAAGTGTGGCACAGGGCAAGGGTGTCCCCAGAGAAAGCCCTAATCCAGCTTTATGGGTGGTTGTATGAGGCACAGAAGCCTTTCCTGGTTAAGGGATAAATGGATGGGGTTTCAAAGGATGAATAGGAGTTTGCCAAGGACAATGAAGCAAAGATTGACATTCTAAGCATTGGGAGTGTCCTATGCAAAATCCCAAAGTGATGTAGTAGCAAATACTTAAGCACCTACAGTGTGCCAAGCATGTTTCATGTGCTGGAGATACAGAGGAGGAGGAGACAGATGAAACCCCAGCCCTTGTGATATTGTCATCCTAGTAGGTGTGGTGGGGAGATAAACAAGTAGACACCTGCATGAATAAGACTTTCAGATTGTGGTAAACCCTGTGGAGGAAACGAAACAGGTGAAGGAACGGCGTGACTAGGAGCAGGCAGGTGCGGCTGCTTCAGGTAGGGTGGTCAGGGAAGGAGGCGGCATCTGAGCTTTGACCTCAATTTCGAGAATGAGCCAGGAATGCAGAGAGGATTTCAGGCAGAGGAAACCTTAGGGAGGCTGGCGGGTTAAATCTGCAGGGGTGTGGCTGGCCGGAGGAAGTGAGGTGTGAGACAGTCACGTTGATGGTGACAGCAGCAGTGACCGTAGCAGCCTAGAGGTGGCCGAATGCTTACTCTAATGGGCTGGCCCATCCCTGAGTGTCTAGAGTTCCCAGCCCGCTTAAGGAAGGAAGGAAAACACAGGCAGCTCTAAGTGTACGACGAGGGAGGTCTCATCGGCGGTGAGGAAGCCCAGGCGGGTCCCCTTCCCAGCTGAAAGGGGTTCGGGTAGGTTTTTCCTGGGCGTTCCTCTGAGAACAGCCAGCCCTGGTGAGAGTGCGGGGAGAGGCGCTTATGACACAGGGAGGGTGGGTCTGGGAACCAGCCTGGCAGGAGGAGGAGGGAGACTGCCGGTGGCCGGGAGCTGTTTGTTCTCTGGGAGGGATCGTGGCGGGGTGGTTTGTGCAGCCCTTTCCTGAAACCGGAGGAGCCTGGCTCCTTCCCAGGTCTCTGGGGGATGGGTCGGGGCGGGGGGTGGTGACGGGGATAGGACCCCAGACAGACTTGAGTTTGGATCCTGGGTTGGAGCCGGTGACTTCACTCTCAGCTCCCTGAACATCAGGGCCTGCCTTTCTTCCCTCCCTTCCCCTCCCCTCCCCTCCCCTTCCTTCCTTCCTTCCTTCCTTCCTTCCTTCCTTCCTTCCTTCCTTCCCTTCCTTTCCCTTCCCTCCCTCCCTTTATTCTTTTCTTTTTTTCTTTTCTTTTCTTTCTTTCTTGACAGAGTCTTGCTCTGTCGCCCAGGCTGGAGTGCAGTGGCGCGATCTCGGCTCACTGCAAGCTCCGCCTCCCGGGTTCACGCCATTCTCCTGCCTCAGCCTCCCGAGTAGCTGGGACTACAGGCACCCGCCACCGTGCCTGGCTAATTTTTTTGTATTTTTAATAGAGACGGGGTTTCACTGTGTTAGCCAGGATGGTCTCGATCTCCTGACCTCGTGATCTGCATGCCTCGGCCTCCCAAAGTGCTGGGATTACAGGCCTGAGCCACAGTGCCCGGCCTCCTCTTTCTTTTTTTGAGACAGAATCTCACTCTGTCACCCAGGCTGGAGTGCAGAGGTGTGGTCTCGGCTCACTGCAACTTCCGCCTCCCAGGCTCAAGCGATTCTCCTGCCTCAGCCTTCCGAGTAGCTGGGACTACAGGCGCGTGCCACCATGCCCAGCTAATTTTTTGGTACTTGTAGTAGAGACAGGGTTTCACCATGTTGGCCAGGCTGGTTTCAAACCCCTAATCTCCAGTGATCTGCCTGCCTTGGCCTCTCAAAGTGCTGGGATTAAAGGCGTGAGCTACCGTGCCAGGCCGTGGAGTAGCTAAACTTATCTTACACTGCTGAGGTCTCTCAAGATGTGTGTAGGGAGAGAGAGTTGGGGGGAGAGAGAGAGACAAAGGAAAAGAGGAAGAGAGAGACAGGGAGAAAGAGAGGAAGAAAGAGAAAGAGAGAAACAGGAAGAGTGAGAGGAGAAAGAGAGGAAGGGGGAGAGAAAGAGAGATGGGGGAGAAAGAGAGAGAGAGAAGGAGACACAGGAGGGGGAGAGAAAGAGGGAGAGAGCAATGAGAGAGATATGAGACAGAGAAGAGAGAGAGAGGAGACACGGAGGAGGGGGACAGAAAGAGGGAGACAGAGAGATGAGAGAGAGAAAAGACACAGATGAGGGGGAGAGAAAGAGGGAGAGAGAGATGAGAGAGAGATTGATAGCACCCAGCTAATCAATCAGTGGCTTTAGTGCCATGAGCTGGAAGGGAGGAATGGATACTGGGGAACAGTTGGTTGACTTTCCCTGGTGGGACAGCCCCTCTTTCTAGAACTACCTTTCCTATGTCCCCTGTGCTTCTCTCCAGTCCATACTCTACATCTCAGCCAGAAAAGAAGAAATTCTAAAACATGTATCTGCCCGTGACATGACCCTCCTTGGCTCAACACTCTTCAGCGGTACCCAGCGCCCTCTGAGTCAACGCCAAGCTTCCTACCATGGCATTGGAGCCGCGCTCTGGGTCCTTTTACTGATGGCTCCCGCCTCAGCCCTTCCACCCCCTCCCATACCCTGCATGCCAGCCCAGGCAGCCCTCCCTCCTCCCACAATATCTCTCATATGCATTCCTGTCCCATGCCTTCTGCTTAAGCTGTTCCCACAGCCCGGAGTCTCCTCCCTGGCTGAGGGAAATCTTGCCGGCTCACATGGCCGTGATCCCCATCATTTCCTGCAGAAAGCTTGCCCAGCTCTCCGACACGGGGACCTTCTGCCCCTCCTGAGCCCTGAGTCCCCTCCATCTTAACTGGGAGGTCACCTGTTTGCGTGGTGTCTGCTCAGCTTGCAGGCAAGGCCACCAACACCCTCCTTTCCTGTCTTTCCTTCCTACCATCCTCTCCTGTCCACCCTCTGCCTCTCCCTCCCTTCTTCTCTTCTTTCCTTCTAGTTACTGAGCCATGCATGTGTTGCATGCAGCAAGGATGAATAAAATAAAATAAACCTACAGCAATCATTCCAGTTACTATGGCCATATAACAAATTATTCTAAAACTCAGTGGCTTCAGACAAGGATCATATCTATTTTACTCAAAAACCTACCATCTGCACAGGCCTTGGTGGAGGCAGCTTATCTGTGTGCCCTTTGGTGATGGCTGGGGCTGTCAAGAAGCTGGGGCAGTGCTTGGGCTGCAAAGACTCAAATGGCTGGAGTCTGGGACCACTGGAGCTCCTTGCCCCCCTTTGCTTATCTCTACACAGCCACAGGGTCGCTAAACTTACCTTACACTGCTGAGGCCTCTTAAGATGTGTGTAGGGAAAGAGAGTTGGGGGGAGAGGGAGAGAGAGAACAGAGAGAGAGAGACACACACAAGAAGAGAGAGAGGAAGAAAGAAGGAGAGAGAGGAAGAGGAAGGGAGAGGAAGAGAGAGAGAAAGAGAAAGAGGGAGAGAGAGAGGAGAGAAAGAGACAAGAAGAGAGGAAGAAAAAAGAGGAAGAGAGGGATAGAGGAAGACAGAAGGAGGGAGAGGGAGAGAGGAAGAGAGAGGAAAGAGAAAGGAAGGGAAAGAGAGATGTGAGAGAGAGGGAGAGAGAGAGAGAAAAGAGGACAGAGGAAGAGAGAGAGGAAGAGAGAGGGAGAGAGAGGGAGAGAAGACAGAGAGGGAGAGAGGAAGAGAAAAGGAGACAGAGAGAGGAGAGATAGAGAAGAACGAGAAAGGAGAGACAGAATGTGAATGAGAATTGGGTGCCATAAACCCTCTGATGGGGAAAGCAAAGGGCATTGTGGGAGAATCCTCTCAGCACCTGGGACAGCACCCAGTGCTGATCAGGAACATGTTAACAACCAGGAAAATGGTAAAGGCGTGGACAGCCCACCTGGAGTCCAAACAGATGTTCTAACTCCCTTGGGTGTGTCTGGGAATCAGGTAGGAGATCCTCAGAGGAGGAATATGCATGCATTGTTCTCTTTATAATAACCATATTAACAGCCAGCAATGTTCTGGCACTTACTATGGATTAAGTCCTTGTTATGAATGACTTCATGCCATCCTTCCAAATTCAATGACAGGTAGCTGGGCGCAGTGGCTCACGCTTTGTAATCCCAGCACTTTGGGAGGCTGAGGCAGGTGGATCACCTGAAGCCTGGAGTTCAAAACCAGCCTGGCCAACATGGTGAAACCCCGTCTCTACTAAAAATACAAAAATCAGCCAGGTGTGGCGGCGAGCGCCTGTAATCCCAGCTACTCATGAGGCTGAGGCAGGAGAATCGCTTGAACCCAGGAGGCAGAGGTTGCAGTGAGCTGAGATTGCATCACTGCGCTCCAGCCTGGGCATCGGAGAGAGACTCTCAAACAGGAGCTGGCGAACTGTGGCGCACTGCTTATTTTTATAAATAAAGTTTTATGGGAACACAGCTGTGCTCACTTGTTTTCACATCATCTGTGGCTGCTTCCCAGCTCCTCTGGCAGAGGAGGTGCAACAGCCACTGTGTGGATCACAAAGCTGAAATTATTTACTATCTGGCTGTTTGTAGAAAAAGTTTGCTGATCTCTGTCCTGGAAGTCAATGATATTAGGATTTCAGTTTACAGAAAAGGAGAAAAAGACAGGGAAAAACAGTGTTGTTTTTTTTTCAAGGTTGAGAAAATGAACATCTGAACCAATTGCCCATGTTATTAAATGTAAACATTTATTATTATTATTTTTGAGATGGGGTCTTGCTCTGTCACCCAGCCTGGGGTGCAGTGGCACAATCACAGCTCATCATAGCCTTGACCTCCTGGGCTCAAGCAGACCTCCCACCTCAGCCTCCCAAGTAGCTGAGGGTGCAGATGCGTGCCACCAAACCTGCTAATTTTTGTATTTTTTGTAGAGATAAGGTTTTGCCGTGTTGTCCAGGCCGCTCTCAAACTCCTGGGCTCATACTATTCTCCACTTTGGCCTCCCAAAGTGCTGGGATTACAGGCATGAGCCACCATGCCCAGTCTAAAATTTTTCTTTATTTTTAGTTTGGTAAACTATGCATAAAGTAAAATGTACCATCTTAACCATTTTAAGTGTACAATTCAGTGATGTTAAGTATATTCACATTGTTGTGCAACCATCACCACCGTCCACCTTCAGGTCTTTTTTTTATTTTGCAAAACAAACTCTGTATCTATTAAAAAACAGCTTCCCGGCCGGGTGCGGTGGCTCATGCCTGTAATCCCAGCACTTTGGGTGGCCGAGGCAGGTGGATCACCTGAGGTCAGGAGTTTGAGACCAACCTGGCCAACATGGTGAAACCCCGTCTCTACTAAAAATACAAAAATTAGCCGGGTGTGGTGACACGTGCCTGTAGCCCCAGCTACTCGGGAGGCTGAGGCAGGAGAATCGCTTGAACCTAGGAGGCAGAGGTTGCAGTGAGCTGAGATCGCCCACTGCTCTCCAGCCTGGGTGACACAGTGAGACTGTCTCTCAAAAAACAAAACAAAACAAACAAACAAACAAAAACAAATCCTGTGACTTCCCAATCTCATCTCCAGCCCCCTGCAGCCACCACTCTGTTTTCTGTCTCTATGAATTTGACTCCTCCAAGTGCCTCTTATACAGCATTTGGCATTGTGTAACTGGTTTAATACGTTTGAGATGGTGAGAGCTTAAGGTCTACAGGCCTAAGGTTTTTTTTTTTTTGACAGAATTTCACTCTGTCGCCAGGCTGGAATGCAGTAGGGCAATCTCGGCTCACTGCAACCTCCACCTCCCGAGTTCAAGTGATGCTCCTGCTTCGGCCTCCTGAGTAGCTGGGACTACAGGTGAGTGCCACCACATCCAGCTAATTTTTGTATTTTTAGTAGAGACAGGGTTTCACCATGTTGGCCAGGCTGGTATCAATCTCCTGACCTCGTGATCCATCTGTCTCGGCCTCCCAAAGTGCTGGGATTACAGGCGTGAGCCACCGTGCCCGGCCATTGACTAAGGTCTTAAAATAGCTCTTCCTGCCTGTATAATCTCCATTATGGCAGGGCTCATATAAGAAGATGACAGTTCATCTGATGAGGAAGAAAACTTACTCCTAGTTAGATTGGGTTGAATTCTTCCCTGTTTCCAGCGGTGTCTGCTCCTGGCACCTCAGGCACAGTCAGGGGTAGGAGGTGGTGATCAGATACACTCGCTGTGAGCAGTGCAAGGGGAAGCAGGTGCCCAGAGGTGCATCCCGGTTTGGTGGGGGTGACAAACATGGACAGGTAAGTGCAGGAGTGTGTGCAATACTCAATCTAAGAAAGGTAGTTCAGGCAGAGTTCAGGGAAGATATCTCTGTGCAGGGCCAGACATGGGGATGAGATTCTGATAATTTGGGAATGAATCAGGCCCCCAGCCCCTCCTCCCTCAGACTCAGCAGTCCAGGCACCCGGCCCTCCTCCCTCGGACCCAGAAGTCCATGCTCCCAGCCCCTCCTCCCTTGGACCCAGGAGTCCAGGCCCCCAGCCCCTCCTCCCTCAGACCCAGGAGTCCAGGCCCCCAGCCGCCTTCTCCTGCAGGACCCCAGGAGCTTGGGTACCCACAGGCTACTAGATCCTTGTTTCTGTGCATGGAAATTCTCAAATTATCTCCAAAAGTCTATGAAGAAGGTAAACACACATTTCCAGATGAGGGAATAGGCTGATATAGTTGAAAGACACACAGAGGGTCACAGTCTGGAATTGACAGTGGTGGGATTCGAACCTATTTCACTCCAGAACTGCGTAGCGCCTTATACGCTGCGGCAAGTGTGACGTCATTCGAACAAACCATAGGCCCCGCCCCCGGACTAGCCACGCCCACAGGCTCCTGAAACCACCAATCCCAGCTGTGACAGCGCTCAGGACCGATGCTCATAGGTCCCGTCCCTAGGATCCCCGCCCCCTCCGCCCGCGCCCCGCCCCTCGCAGCCCAGTTCCGGACGCGGGCCCAGCCGCGCCTGCGCCTCCGCTCGCCTGTGGCTGCGTCGCGCGCTCTTCCTCGGAGCTACCCAGGCGGCTGGTGTGCAGCAAGCTCCGCGCCGACCCCTGACGCCTGACGCCTGTCCCCGGCCCGGCATGAGCCGCTACCTGCTGCCGCTGTCGGCGCTGGGCACGGTAGCAGGCGCCGCCGTGCTGCTCAAGTGAGTACATTCTAGCCCCGCGTGCGCGGTCAAGGCGGGCCCCCAGCGCAGGGGCCGGGAAGGCGGCGGAGACCCCCGCCCCTCGCACCCGGGTCCAGGCCCCGTAGCTCCCGACCCGCAGTGCCCGCCCGGAGTGGGGCAAACCTGCGCTCTGGCCGGCCAGGTCACCGGCCCAAGGTCACTCGGAGGGAAGGGCGAGCCTGGGCCCTTGTAAATGTTGCTTTCCTTCCAGACTTTTAAACTCTTTATTTTGTTGTTTTGTATTATTTATTTGTTCGTTTATTTTTAAAGGCAGAATCTGGCTCTGTCGCCCAGGCTGGAGTGCAGTGGCGCGATCTTGGCTCACTGCAGCCTTGACCTCCTGGGCTCAGGTGATCCTCCCACCTTGGCGTCCCCAGGAGCTGAGATCACACGTGCGCCACCACGCCCGGCTAATTTTTGTATTTTTCGCAGAGACGGGGTTTTGCCATGTTGGCCAGGCTGGTCTCAAACACCTGCCCTCAGGTGATCCGCCTGCCTCGGCCTCCAAAGTGCTGGGATTACAGACGTGAGCCACCTCGCCCAGCCTACTTAATTTAAACTTTCTTAAAAATTAGCCTCTGTGGCTGGTGGCCACTGTATTGCATGGTGCCCTTCTCTCCTGTGGGTGCAGTGCTGTTTACCTGCTCAGCCTCCTGTTGCTGGACACTATCTTGTTGCCAGCGTTAGCCTCTGTGGGACATGGGTGTGGTGGGCAGAGTCGTGACTCCGTAGAGGGGTCCACGTCCTAATCCTCGGAAGGTGTGACGACATTACCTCACGTGTCAGAGGTTCTCGCTGATGTGTTAAGTGAAGCATCTTTTTTTTTTTTGAGACAGAGTTTCGCTGTTGTTGCCCAGGCTGGAGTGCAATGGCACGACCTCGGCTCACCACAACCTCCACCTCCCGGGTTCAAGCGATTGTCCGGCCTCAGCCTCCTGAGTAGCTGGGATTACAGGCATGTGCCACCACGCCTGTCTAATTTTGTATTTTTAGTAGAGACGAGGTTTCTCCATGTTGGTCAGGCTGGTCTTGAGCTCCCGACCAAAGGGGATCTGGCCACCTTGGCCTCCCAAAGTGCTGGGGTTACAGGCGTGAGCCACCGTGCCCGGCCAAGTGAAGGATCTTATGATTATCATGTAGTCTTTTTTTTTTTTTGGAGACAGGGTCTCTCTGTCACCCAGGCTGGAGTGCAGTCATGCTGTCACAGCTCACTGCAGCCTCACCCTCCCTGGGCTCAGGTGGTCCTCCCACTTCAGCCTCCCGAGTAGCTGACTCTACAGGCGTGCACCACCAAGCCCTGCTAATTTTTGTATTTTTAGTAGAGATGGGGTGTCAGCATGTTGGCCATGGCTGGTCTCGAACTCCTGACCTCAAGTGATCCTCCTGTCTTGGCCTCCCAAAGTGCTGGGATTACAGGTGTGAGGCACTGTGCCGGTCCTGCCTTGTAGTCTTATAGGGTCCTTATAAGAGGGAGCAGGAGGCTCAGTCAGAGGGGAGATGGAAGATAGAAGGAGAGGTTGTTGGGTGTGGTGGCTCACGCCTGTAATCGCAGCACTTTGGGAGGCCAAGGCAGGCGGATCACAAGGTCAGGAGTTCGAGACCAGCCTGACCAACGTGGTAAAACTCTGTCTCTACTAAAAATACAAAAGAAATTAGCCAGGTGTGGTGGCATGTGCCTGTAATCCCAGCCACTCAGGAGGCTAAGGCAGGAGAATCGCTTGAACCTGTGAGGCGAAGGTTACAGTGAGCTGAGATTGAGCCACTGCACTCCAGCCTGGGCGACAGAGCGAGACTCTGTCTCAAAAATAAATAAGTAAATAAATAAATAAATAAAGGAGAGGTTCCAGTGAGGATGCAGGTTGAAGATGGAGGCGGGGCCAAGAGTGGAGGAATGTGGCGGTCTGTAGGAGCTGGAAGTGGATTCTTCCCTAGAGCCTCCAGAAGGAACCTGACTCTACCAATACCTTGATTTATTCCAGTGAGACATGTTTTGGACTCTTGACCTGCCGAACTGGAGGAGGATGCACTTATGTGGTTTTAAGCCACTAAGTCTGTGGTAATGCGTACAGCAGCCTTGGGAATCTCGTGCAGCGGGCATTTTAAATTTAAATTTAAATTTTTTTGAGACAGAGTCTCGCTCTGTTGCCCAGGCTGGCACCATTTCGACTCACTGCAACCTCCGCCTTCCAGGTTCAAGCAATTCTCGTGCCTCAGCCCCCTGAGTAGCTGAGATTACAGGTGTGCACCACCACGCCTGTGAAGGGGTGGCCTGCCCCTCCACACCTGTGGGTATTTCTAGTTGGGTGGGACGAGAGACTGAGAAAAGAAATAAGACACAAAGTATAGAGAAACAACAGTGGGCCCAGGGGACCGGCGCTCAGCATACCAAGGACCTGCACCGGCACCGGCCTCTGAGTTCCCTCAGTTTTTACTGATTATTATCTTCATTATTTCAGCAAAAAGGAATGTAGTAGGAGAGCAGGGTGATAATGAGGTCAGCAAAAACCATGTGAGCAAAAGAATCTATGACATAATTAAGTTCAAGGGAAGGTACTATGCCTGGACGTGCACGTAGGCCAGATTGATGTTTCTCTCCACCCAAACATCTCAGCGGAGTAAAGAATAACAAGGCAGCATTGCTGTAAACATGTCTCGCCTCCCGCCATAGGGCGGCTTTTCTCCTGTCTCAGAATTGAACAAATGTACAATCAGGTTTTATACCGAGACATTCAGTTCCCAGGGTCAGGCAGGAGACAGTGGCCTTCCTCTCTCTCAACTGCAAGAGGCTTTCCTCTTTTACCAATCCACCTCAGCACAGACCCTTTACGGGTGTTGGGCTGGGGGACGGTCAGGTCTTTCTCATCCCACGAGGCCATATTTCAGACTATCCCACGGGGAGAAACCTTGGACAATACTCTGTGTTCAAGGGCAGAGGTCCCTGCAGCTTTCTGCAGTGCATCGTGCCCCTGGTTTATTGAGACTAGAGACTGGCGATGACTTTTACCAAGTATACTGCTTGGAAACATTGTGTTAACAAGGCACTTCCTGCACAGCCCTAGATCCCTTAAACCTTGATTTCATACAACACAGGTTTTTGTGAGCTCCAGATTGGGTCAAAGTGGCTGGGTCAAAGCTACAAATTAACAACATCTCAGCAAAGCAATTGTTCAAAGTACAGGTCTTTTTCAAAATGGAGTCTCTTATGTCTTTCCTTTCTATATAGACACAGTAACAGTCTAATCTCTCTTTTCCCTACACATCTGGCTAATTTTTGTATTTTAAGTAGAGACGGGGTCTCGCCATGTTTGCCAGGCTGGACTCGAACTCCTGACCTCAAGTGATCCGCCCCCGCCCCCCCCCACCCCCAAAACTTTGGCCTCCCAAAGTGCTGGGATTACAGGTGCAAGCCCCCTCACCTGGCCGGGAATCTCATGCAGTGAGCATTTATAAAATAATGACTGTCACTTGCTGAAGGCGTTCCACACGCCAGACACTGGGTGGAGCCACTTATGGAGAACATGACAGAGGTCCCTTGGTGTGATGTGATGATGTCTGTGTTTCAGTTGGGGTATGTGAGTGAGCTCAGACAAGGTTGCCTGAGATCATTCAGTCAGGGGCACGTGGGGTGAGAGTGGGCCCACAGGACTGACCGTGCCGCTTCTCACCCTCAGGGACTATGTCACCGGTGGGGCTTGCCCCAGCAAGGCCACCATCCCTGGGAAGACGGTCATCGTGACGGGTGCCAACACAGGCATCGGGAAGCAGACCGCCTTGGAACTGGCCAGGAGAGGTAAAATCTCCCCTGCTTTGGCTCTCAGAGAGATATCTGTACATCCATGCTCACTGCAGCATTATTCACAGTCCGGAGGTGGAAGGAACCCAGGCACCCATCCACAGATGAACAGGGAAACAGAATGTGGCTTCTATAGACAGGGGCATATGATTCAGCCTTAAAAAGGAAGGGCATTCTGGCCGGGCGCGGTGGTGCACGCCTGTAATCAGTACTTTGGGAGGCCAAAGCTGGCGGATCACGAGGTCAGGAGTTCGAGACCAGCCTAACCAACATGGTGAAACCCCCTCTCTACTAAAAATACAAAAATTAGCCAGGAGTTGTGGTGGGCACCTGTAGTCCCAGCTGCTTGGGAGGCTGAAGCAGGAGAATCGCTTGAACCTGAGAGGCAGGGGTTGCAGTGAGCAGAGATGGCGCCACGGCACTCCAGCCTGGGTGACAGAGTGAGACTCAAAAACAAAACAAAACAAAGCAAAACAAAAAAAAGGGCATTGAAACAGATGAACCTTGAGGACATTCCATGAAGTGAAATAAGCCAGTCGACAGAAGAGCAAATACGGTATGATTCCACTTACAGGAGCTACCTACAGTTAAATTCATAGAGAAGTTGGAATGGTGCTTGCCAGGGGTCAGGAGGGGAGGGGAGAATGGGGAGTTACTGTTTAATGGAAACGGAAGTTTAGTTTGGCAAGATGAAACAATTTGAGAGATGGATGGTTGTAATGGTTGCACAACATTAGGAATTATTATTATTGTTTTTTTTTTTTTGAGATGGAGTTTTGCTCTTGTCGCCCAGGCTGGAGTGCAGTGGCATGATCTTGGCTCACTGCAACCTTCGCCTCCCGGGTTCAAGCAATTCTCCTGCCTCAGCCACCCGAGTAGCTGGGATTACAGGCATGCAACACCACACCCAGCTAAGTTTGTAATGTGTTGGCCAGGCTGGTCTTGAACTCCTGACCTCAGGTGATCCACCTGCCTTGGTCTCCCAAAGTGCTGGGATTACAGGTGTGAGCCACCATGCCCGGCCCAGCCATAAATGTTTTTAATACCAATGAACTGGACACTTAAAAATGGCTAAGAGGGCGGGTCTCGGTGGCTCACATCTATAATTCCAGCACTTTTGGAGGCTGAGGCAGGAGGATCACTTGAGGCCAGGGGTTCCAGACCAGCCTGGACACCATAGCAACACCCCCATCTCTACCAGAGTTAGCCAGGCATGCTGGCACAGGTGGTACCTATAGTCCCAGGTCACTTGAGCCTAGGAGTTCAAGGCTGAATGAGCTGTGATGGCGCCAGCACTCCAGCCGCGGCAGCAGAGTGAGACTGACTCAAAAAAAAAAAAATAATAATAAACAAAAAGAAAAGGGGGTTAAGATGATAAATTTTAAGTGATTTGTATTTTACCACAACAAAAAAAATTGGAGGCTGGGCATTGTGGCTTATTTGTAATCCCAGTACTTTGGGAGGCCGCGGGGTGGATCACCTGAGGTCAGAAGTTCAAGACTAGCTTGGCTAACATGGTGAAACCGCTGTCTCTACTAAAAATAAAAAAATAAAAAATTAGCTAGTTGTGGTAGGTGCCTGTAATCCCAGCTACTCGGGAGGCTGAGGCAGGAGAATTGCTTGAACCCAGGAGGTGGAGGTTGCAGTGAGCCGAGATTGCGCCACCGCACTCCAGCCTGGGTGACAGAGTGAGACTCCATCTAAAAAAAAAAAAAAAAGGAGAGGATGGGGAATCCTCTTGCCTTGGCCTCCCAAAGTGCTGGAATTACAGGTGTGAGCCACCGTGCCCGACCAATTCAGTGATGTTTAGTATAGTCACAGAATGATGCAACCATCTTTAAAATCAATCTTAGAACATCTGTTACCCTAGAAAGAAACCTGCTCACTGTAACTATCAAGCTGTAATTCCCTCTCCCCACCCCCTGCCCTAGAAAACCAAGAATCTATTTTCTTTCTCTATGGATTTGCCTATTCTGGGCGTTTCATAGGTGTGAAATCATATACATAGAATTCATGTAAATGGGATTGTACGCTGTGTGGTCTTTCGTGTCTGGTTTCTTTCCCCGAGCACAGTGTTTCTGACGGTCATCCTTGCTGTAGCATGAGCCAGTGCTTCACTCCTTTTCACGGCCGTCTAATATTCCATCTCTATGGATGGACCACATTTTGTTGTCCCTTCATCCACAGATGGGCATTTGGTTGTTTCTACCTTTTGGCTTTTGTGAAGAATGCCGCAGTGAACATTGGTGGATGTGTTTTTGTGTAGACGTATGTTTTCATGTCTCTGGGGTCAGTACCCAGGAGTGGATTATTAATTTAAATCTTTTTCCATCCTGGGTTTTCAGGAGGCAACATCATCCTGGCCTGCCGAGACATGGAGAAGTGTGAGGCGGCAGCAAAGGACATCCGCGGGGAGACCCTCAATCACCATGTCAACGCCCGGCACCTGGACTTGGCTTCCCTCAAGTCTATCCGAGAGTTTGCAGCAAAGATCATTGAAGGTAGGAGAACGCTGGCCATGTGGGATGAGGACTGGGATAGGCGGCTCCCAGGGCCAGGCTCTGAGAAGTGAATGAAGCAAGCAAACTTTAGAGCAGAGTTTTGGCAAACTATGAGTTAGGGGCCAAGTCCAGTTGCTGCCTTTTTTTGTACAGCCTGCAAGCAACGACTTTATTTATTTATTACTACTGTTATTTTGAGAGGGAGTCTCACTCTGTCGGCCAGGCTGAGTGCAATGGCGCGATCTCGGCTCACTGTAACCTCTGCCTCCTGGGTTCAAGCGCGGACCTCAGCCTCCTGAGTAGCTGGGATTAAGATGCCTGCTACCATACCCTGCTAATTTTTGTATTTTTAGTAGAGACGGGGTTTCACCACGTTGGCCAGGCTGGTCTGGAACTCCTGACCTCAGGTGATTCTCCTGCCTCAGCCTCCCAGAGTGCTGGGATTACAGGCGTGGGCCACTGCGCCCGGCTGACTTTGTTTTGTTTGTTTGTTTTGAGACAGATGGGGTCTCGCTCTGTTGCCCAGGCTGGAGTGCAGTGGTGTGATCTTGCCTCACTGCAACCTCCGTCTCCCGATTTCAAATGATTCTCCTGCTTCAGCCTCCTGAGTAGCTGGGATTACAGGCACCCGCCACCGTGCCTGGCTAATTTTTTGTGTTTTAGGTAGAGACAGGGTTTCACCATGTTGGTCAGGCTGGTCTCGAACTCCTGACCTCAGGTGATCTGCTTCCCTTGGCCTCCCAAAGTGCTGGGATTACAGGTGTGAGCCACCGTGCCCTACCTGAATAATTAGTTTGTTTGAGACAGGATCCATCTCTGTCACCCAGGCTAGAGTGCAGTGGTGCAGTCATGGCTCACTGCAGTCTCAACCTGCTGGGCTCAAGGGATCCTCCCACTTCAGCCTCCCAAGTAGCTGGGAGTACAGGCATACGCCACCACACACAGCTAATTATTGTTTTATTGTTTTGTTTTGTTTTTAGAGCTGGGGTTTCACCATGTTGCTCAGGCTGGTCTCCAACTCCTGGGCTCAAGTGATCCACCCAGGTCAGCTTCCCACAGTGCTGGGATTACAGGCGTGAGCCACCGCACCTGACCTTATTAAGCATTTATTGATCAAGTGCCTTCCCCACCATGGTTAAAGAAATATGTGTTTGTTATGGGACATTTATAAAATACTGCAATGTAAAGAAGACAGAACTGGCTGGGCACAGTGGCTCACGCCTGTTAATCCCAGCACTTTGGGAGGCTGAGGCAGGTGGATCCCTTGAGGTCAGGAGTTCGAGACCAGCCTGGCCAACATGGTGAAACCCTGTCTCTACTAAAAATACAAAAATTAGCCAGGCGTGGTGGTGCACACCTGTAATCTCAGCTACTCAGGGTGCTGAGGCAGGAGAATTGCTTGAACCCAGGAGGCGGAGGTTGCAGTGAGCTGAGATTGTGCCAGTGCACTCCAGCCTGGGTGACAGAGTGAGACTCTGTCTCAATAAAAAAGAAGACAGAACTAAACAACTTTGATCTGCACCAGCCCCAGGAGAATCACTTTTATGGATCTTTCTAGTCTTGTTTATAATAGGTTTGTGTGTGTATTTATATATTTTTATGTAAAACTGGGACCATCCTCTAGCTTTTCTATTCTTGTTCATCTTTAAATAGACTCAAGAATACACTAAAATTATTTATTGTTTAGTTGACATGTATACTTGTATATATTATGTACAGCATGATGTACATTGTATACATTGTAGAATGGCTAAATCAAGCTAATTAACATATGCATTACCTCAAATACTTACCTGTTTTTGTGGTGACCACATTTAAAATCTCTTCTCTTAGGATTGCTTGAGCTCAGGAGTTAGAGACCAGCCTAGGAAGCATAGTGAGACCTTGTGTGTACCAAAGATTAAAAAAAAAAAAAAATTAGCCGGGCATCCTGGCATGTGCCTACAGTCCCAGCTACTCAGGAGGCTGAGGCAAGAGGATCACTTGAGCCCGAGAGTTCAAGGCTGCAGTGAGCCGTATTTGTGCCACTGCACTCTAACCTGGATGACAGAGCAAGACCTTTTTTTTGAGATGGAGTCTTGCTCTGTCACCCAGGCTGGAGTGCAATGATGCGATCTTGGCTCACTGCAGCCTCCGCCTCCTGGGTTCAAGCGATTCTCCTGCCTCAGCCTCCCAAGACTATAGGCGGGTGCCACCATGCCCGGCTAATTTTTGTATTTTTAGTAGAGACGGGGTTTCACTATGTTGGCCAGGCTGGTCTCGAATTCCTGACCTTGTGATCCGCCTGCCTCAGCCTCCCAAAGTGCTGGGATTACAGGCATGAGCCACCATGCCCAGCTGCTTTGTTTCTTTTCTAGTCTGGCACTGAAAGGGCCAAAGCTTTCTTCTTCAGAGTCAATGTGCCCCGCTCAGTAAACGGGTACTCAGGAAATGAACAAGGAATGGGGGAGTTGTGGGACCTCATTTATTTAGCAGACGTGATCTCAGACCTGACCAGGTGCTGGAGGTGTGAGATGAACCAGAGCTGTCCTTGTGCCACTCACAGCCCTAGGGAGGCAGGTGCAGGTGCACATTCGTTGGTTCATTCATTCATTCATACTGAGCCCCTGCTGTGCCCTTGGGGATCAAGAAAGAGCCGGCACTGTTGTCGGGTAGGTGAGAGGCACTACGGTGAGATCACAAAGAACAGTGAGAGGGCAATGCCTCAGAGTCTCAGAGGTGGATGAACATTTATTAAGCACCTGCTGTGTACCAGGTACAGCACTGTCACCTTCATGCACACTGTCCCAGGCAATCCCACCCAGGGCGCCTCTGATCCTGTCTCTGGCTTGTGGACACAGGTGTCCGGAGCACTGAGGTCCCTGAGACAGTGAGGACCCCGGCTGGACACACCTGGGCAGGTGATGCCTCCTCTCTTAGCCACACGTTCCTCTTCCGGGAAATGGAATAATTCCTTCTATTTTCTGGGATTCTCTAGAGGGGTTTTTTTTTTTTTCTGAGACGGTATCTTGCTTTGTCGCCCAGGCTGGAGGACAGTGGCACATCTCGGCTCACTCCAAGCTCCGCCTCCCGGGTTCATGCCATTCTCCTGCCTCAGCCTCCCGAGTGGCGGGGGACTACAGGCGCCTGCCACCACGCCCGGCTAATTTTTTATATTTTTTACTAGAGACGGGGTTTCACCGTGTTAGCCAGGATGGTCTCGATCTCCTGACCTCATGATCCAGCCACCTCGGCCTCCCAAAGTGCTGGGATTACAGGCATGAGCCACCACGCCCAGCCTCTCTAGAGGATTAAGTAAAGCTGTGTCTGTGACTTTTTTAGCAAATCAAGTACCAGCTTCTTGGTGTTTTCCTAAGATCAACAGCCAGGAATAAAGACAGCAGTGGATTTAAAAATAGTGAAGATCGTCCATTTTATGTGGTGTGTATTCTACCACACTGGGGCAGGCCAGGTGCAGCGGTTCACGCCTGTCATCCCGGCACTTTGGGAGACAGAAGTTTTGGGAAGATCAGTTTGTGAGATGACACTCTGACAAAGCTGGAAGCTGTGGCTCTTCCCAGCTCCCGACTAGAAAGAACACAAAGCAAAGAGCCCCAGGAAGCAGGTACCCACAGCCTTGTTTATCAGGGAGTTTGAGATCAGCCTGGGCAACATAGCAAGACCTCATCTCTACAAAAAATACAAAACAATCAGGCAGGCGTGCAGGCTCACGCCTGTAATCCCAGCACTTTGGGAGGCTGAGGCGGGCGGATCACAAGGTCAGGAGATCGAGACCATCCTGGCCAACACGGTGAAACCCCGTGTCTACTAAGAAACACAAAAAAATTAGCCGGGCGTGGTGGCGGGCACCTGTAACCCAGCTACTTGGGAGGCTGAGGCAGGAGAATGGCGTGAACCCGGGAGGTGGAGCTTGCAGTGAGCCGAGATGGCGCCACTGCACTCCAGCCTGGGTGACAGAGTGAGACTCCATCTCAAAAAAAAAATAAAAAACAATGAGGCAGGCGTGATGGTGTGCACTTGTAGTCCCAACTACTTGGGAGGTGGAGGTGGGAGGATTGCTTGAGCCTGGGAGGTTGAGGCTGCAGTGAGGGATTTTTTTTTTTTTTTTTTAAGACGGAGTTTTGCTCTTGTTGCCCAGGCTGGTGCAATGACGGGATCTTGGCTCACGGCATCCTCCACCTCCTGGGTTCAAGTGATTCTCCTGCCTCAGCCTCCCGAGTAGCTGGGATTACAGGCATGCGCCACCACGCCCGGCTAATTTTGTATTTTTAGTAGAGACGGGGTTTCTTCCTGTTGGTCAGGCTGCAACCTCCATCTCCTGGTTTCAAATAATTCTCCTGCCTCAGCCTCCTGAGTAGCTGGGATTACAGGCACCTGCCACCATGCCCGGCTACTTTTTTGTTTTAGGTAGAGACAGGGTTTCACCATGTTGGTCAGGCTGGTTGACCTCAGGTGATCTGCCCGCCTCGGCCTCCCAAAGTGCTGGGATTACAGATGTGAGCCACCACGCCCGGCCTGCAGTGAGCTTTGATTGTACCACTGCACTCGGGGTGAGACCCTGTGTCCAAAAAAAAAAAAAAAAAAAAAAAGTTGAGGCAGTTCCCAGATAAACAAAACAACAGGCCAGGCACTGTGGCCCACGCCTGCAATCCCAGCACTTTGGGAGGCCGAGGTGGGCGAATTGCCTAAGCTCAGAAATTCGAGACCAGCCTAAGCAACATAGCCAAACCCCATTTCTACAAAAAATTTTAAAAGTAGCTGCTTGTGGTGTCGGGCGCCTGTGGTTCAGCTATGTGGAAGGCTGAGGTGGGAGGATCGTTTGAGCCCTGGCGGCGGAGGTTGCTGTGAGCTGAGATCGCGCCACTGCACTCCAGCCTGGGCCACTGAGTGAGCTTCCCTCTCATAAAAAGAAAAAAAAAAAAACAGGCTGGGCGCGGTGGCTCACACCTGTAATCCCTGCACTTTGGGAGGCAGAGGCGGGTGGATCACGAGGTGAAGAATTCAAGACCAGCCTGACCAAGATGGTGAAACCCCGTCTCTACTAAAAATGCAAAAATTAGCAGGGTGCGGTGGCGGGCACCTGTAATCCCAGTACTCGGGAGGCTGAGGCAGCAGAATCGCCTGAACCCAGGCGGTAGAGGTTGCAGTGGGCCATGGGCCAAGATCACACCACTGCACTCCAGCCTGGGTGGCAGAGTGAGACTTCATCTCAAAAAAAAAAAGAAAAAAAACCAAAACAAAACACCAGAAGCTGGCGGCACTCCTGGGCGCCCAGCTGTGAGTGGAGTCTCCCTGTCCCGCCTTTGGGCCTTACCCGTGCTGCGCCTGCTGCCTGCATCCCCCTTCCCTGGGTCTCCGCACGTGGGCCCTGCCTCATTTTCCCGGTCCCAGTTTCTGCGTCACCTCCTGAGAGGGGCCTCCTGTCAGCTTCCACGCAGCTCTGTCACGGGTAGATTCTCTCACGAGTGGAAGTGGCTCTCAGCTGCACTGGAATGTCCGGTCCACACGGACGGGGCCTCGGCTGTGCTGTCCACCCTGTATTTCCAGTGCCCAGTAATAGGTGCTTAGAAAATACTTACTGAATGAGTAAGTATACAGTTGTACCAGGCAGGTGATGTTATTATCCTTTTTTTTTTTTTTTTTTTACAAGGAGTAAACTGAGTCACAGAGAAGTGATGTGACTTGGCCAGGATCATGCAGCTGGTCGGGGTGGAGCCAGGCTTTGAACCTGTCTGTCCTGCTCCAGAGCTGGTATTCATGACGGGTGTGCTGCAACCCCCTCCTTCTCACACAGAGAACCAGATGGTGTCTGTGTGTTACGCGCTGGACACCTAATTCACGATCCCCGCCGAAAACCACTTCGGGAGCATTATGAATTCCATTGTGTCCTCCACCCCCAAGGATAGGTTGGGATCCTGAACCCCCATCCCTCAGCATGTGACTTCATTTAGAGGTGGGTGTTTACAGAGGTCCTGAAGTGAAAATGAGGTCATTAGGGTGGGCCCTAATCCAGTGACTGGTGTCCTTATGAAAAGGGGAGATTTGCGCACAGAAACAGACGTGCTAGCTGGGCATGGTGGCGCATGCCTGTGGCCCCAGCTACTTGGGAGGCTGAGCAAGAAGACTGCTTGAGCCTGGGAGGTTGAGGCTGCAGTGAGCAGTGATTGCGCCACTGTACTCCAGCCCAGGTGTCAGAGGGAGACCCTGTCTCAAAGAAATATAAAAAATAGGCCAAGTAGACTGAGTGTGGTGGCTCACGCCTGCAGTCCCAGCACTTTGGGAGGCTGAGGTAGGTGGATCACGAGGTCAGGAGTGTGAGACTAGCCTGGCCAACATGGTGAAGCCCCGTCTCTACTAAAGATACAAAAAATTAACCCGGTGTGGTGGTGGATGCCTGTAGTCCAGCTACTTGGGAGGCTGAGGCAGGAGAATTGTTTGAACCTGGGAGGCAGAGGTTGCAGTGAGCCAAGATCGCACCATTGCACTCCAGCCTGGGTGACAAGAGTGAAACTCCATCTCCCCCCCCCAAAAAAAAAAAAATAGGCTGGGGGCAGTGAAATTGCAGCACTCTGGGAGGCCAAAGCAGGAGGATTGCTTGAGTTCAAGAGTTTGAGACCAGCCTGGGCAACATAGTGAGACCATGTCTGAAAAATCTAAAATTAAAAAAGGAAAAATGAAAAAAAAAAAAGAGACAGCTCCAAAGGGAAGAGGAAGGGAAGAGGGAGAGAGGAGATGGTCACCTGTGAGCCAAGGAGAGAGACCAGAGCGGATCCTCCCTGAGGGCCCTGAGAGGGAACCAGCCCTGCCCACACCTTGATCTGGGACTTCCAGCCTCTGGGACTGTGATTTTTTTTTTTTTTTTTGAGATGGAGTTTTGCTTTTATTGCCCAGGATGGAGTGTAATGATGCGATCTCGGCTCACTGCACCCTCTGCCTCCTGGTTTCAAGCGATTTTCCCGCCTCAGCCTCCTGAGTAGCTGGGATTACAGGTGCATGCCACCACGCCTGGCTAATTTTGTATTTTTAGTAAAGACGCGGTTTCTCCATGTTGGCCAGGCTGGTCTCAAACTCCTGACCTCAGGTGATCTGCCCACCTCGGCCTCCCAAAGTGCTGGGATTACAGGCGTGAGCCACTGTGCCCGGCCAGGTCTGTGAGGTTTTAAACCACCTGTCTGTGGCACTTTGTTACGGAACCCGAGCTGAGTGGTACAGGGAGGAAGGCCCTGTGGTTCAGCGCATTTTACAGCTGAGGAAACTGAGGCTGCAGTCTCCATCTGTGTGTCCTTTGGTTGCTTGTATGAGTGAGGTGGCAGGTTTGGGAATGAAACCACGCCTGCGGTGCCGGGGCTCCCACCGGTAACCTCCCGTTTTTGGCCTCGGGGCTCCGGCAGGAAGGAGTCCCAAGGCTTAGATGGAGGTGCGGAGGGCGTGTGAGTGTCCTGGAGCTGCTGTAACAATGTACTGCAAACCCAGTGGCTTACACCCTCAGACGTGCATTCCCTCACGGTTCCGGAAGCCGGCAGTCTGAATCGCGGTGTCCCTGTGGCTGTGACCTGTGAGACGGGCCATAATCCTCCCAGCCTCTTCCACTTCCAGCGGGGGCGGCCCACCCTCACCTTGGAGCTGTGCCTCTCCGGTCTTTGCCTCTGTCCACACATGGCCTTCTCCCCATGTGTCTCTGTCTCTGTTTTCCCTTCCTATAAGGACACCAGTCATTGGATTAGGGCTCACCCTAATGACCGCATCCTGACATGGCCACTTCGGCACAGACCCTGTTTCCGGCACAGGCCACATTCACAGGTTGTGGGAGCACAGGAGTGTTTCTGCTGGTGCATCAGGCTGGGGTCTGTCCTCACCGGGATGTCTCCTCCTCCACCCCTCTCTTCCAGAGGAGGAGCGAGTGGACATTCTAATCAACAACGCGGGTGTGATGCGGTGCCCCCACTGGACCACCGAGGACGGCTTCGAGATGCAGTTTGGCGTTAACCACCTGGGTGAGGCCTGGGCAGGGGCTGCACCATGGGTTCAAGCGATCCTCCCCCGTCGTCCTCCCAAAGTGCTGGGATTTTAGGTGTGAGTCAAAAGTGACCTTTTCATCATCCTTAATCCAGGTCACTTTCTCTTGACAAACTTGCTGCTGGACAAGCTGAAAGCCTCAGCCCCTTCGCGGATCATCAACCTCTCGTCCCTGGCCCATGTTGCTGGGCACATAGACTTTGACGACTTGAACTGGCAGACGAGGAAGTATAACACCAAAGCCGCCTACTGCCAGAGCAAGCTCGCCATCGTCCTCTTCACCAAGGAGCTGAGCCGGCGGCTGCAAGGTACGGGGGCGCTAGGCTCGGCCTCCCTCTTGCTTTACTCTGAGCCTAGAGCGGCCTTTCCATGATCCTAGGCTGATGGGAGGCCAAACGGTGGATCCAGAACAGAGTCAGCAAAAGTAGAGCATGTGGACCACGCTGCCCGCTTCTGGTGCCTGAAGCAGACATCACTAATCGATCGTTCTTCTGAGGATTGTCTGTTCATCCCAGGTGGTCTAGTCTGCCTGGATCAGATGTCCTTCCCTGCTGCTGTTGGGCAGGCAGCTCAGCCTTTTGGCTCCAGCCAGTGAGTCTCAACCAGGGGCAGTTTTGACCCGCAGTTGTCAATGCCTGGAAACACAGTGATCACAGCTGGCTTGGGGAGAGATTGCTCTGGGCATCTGGAGGGTAAAGGCCCAGATGCTCTCAATGTCCTACAGCGCACGGGATGGCCCCTCACTCCTCCCAACCCACAGCATCCACAGTGCTGAGATTGAGAAATCTGTGCTAGGCCTTTGCTTCTGAAAGACGGTCTGTGGACCAGCGGTGCCAGCCCCACTGGGAGCTGGTCAGAGTTACAGTATCTTAGGTCCCACCGCCACGCACCGATGCAGGCTCCCGGGGTAAGCTCAGCGTTCTGGGTTTATGAAGCCCTCCAGGAAAGCTCGGCTCCCAGCAGCCATGTGGCAGAGCCGCTCCGCAAGATAAGACCACTTCACTAAGATTCCAGAGCAAGAGGGACGATGGGGTTTGAGTGCAGGAAGCAGCCTGGTGCCCGGAAGCCCCACAGCTGGGTGTGGGCTGCCACAGCCTCCCAGGTGAGGCTGGACCCCTCCCTCAGTCTTCTCTTTCTTTCTTCCCCAGGCTCTGGTGTGACTGTCAACGCCCTGCACCCCGGCGTGGCCAGGACAGAGCTGGGCAGACACACGGGCATCCATGGCTCCACCTTCTCCAGCACCACACTCGGTGAGTCCCCTCCCAGCCTGGGGTCTCCACGTGGAGCCCTCCACCCCTGCTTTCTCAGCCCAGGGCCCAGGACCCTCCCTCAGAGACCGTCCCTGAGGCCTCATGCCTGCTCCTCGCCTACGTCTTCTGAGGCACAGAGCACAGGTCCCTTTCCTCCGTTGACCTGGCCTGCCAGCCTCTAACAGCCCCGGGAAGCAGGCAGAGCCCTGCTGGCGGATGAGAAAACCGTGTCTCAGAGGAAGAGGCCGTGGAGCTGACGCCTGGAGTCAGGCTGTACTCAGGGTAACTCCAGCTTCACCCCAAACCAGCTGCACCTCCTGGGGAAGAGCTGTTACCCCTCTGAGCCTGTTTCTTCATCTGCAGAGTGCAGGCCTTAATAGGACTCACCTCACAGTCACTGGGGGGGTTATACGAGACCTTCCTTGAAAGGGCCAGCACAGGACCCCGCCCAGAGAATAGGTGGAACAAACAGTTGGAGCTTTACTTACTTATTTTTGAGATGAAGTCTTGCTCTGTCGCCCAGGCTGGAGTACAATGGCATGATCTCCACTCACTGCAACTTCCACCTCCCAGGTTCAAGCGATTCTCCTGTCTCCAAGTAGCTGGGATTACAGGTGCACACCACCACACCCAGCTAGAGGTGGGGTTTCACCATATTGGTCAGGCTAGTCTCAAACTCCTGACCTCAGGTGATCCAACTGCCTCCCAAAGTGCTGGGATTACAGGTGTGAGCCACCACCCCCAGGCAGTTCATGCTTTATGACTAGTGTTTATAATCCTGAAAAACATGGAGTGGGTGATTGGTTGGCATCAAGAATCTTAACTTGGCGAGGCTAATAGCCACGCCTGTAATCCCAGCACTTTGGGAGGCTGTGGTGGGCGGATTACCTCAGGTCAGGAGTTCGAGACCAGCCTGGCCACCATGGTGAAACCCCGTCTCTACTAAAAATACAAAAATTAGCCAGGTGTGGTGGTGTGCACCTGTAGTCCCAGCTACTCAGGAGGCTGAGGCAGGAGAATCGCTTGAACCCGGGAGGCAGAGGTTGCAGTGAGCTGAGATCACACCACTGCACTCCAGCCTGGGTGACAGAGCAAGACACCAGGTCTCAATAAATAAATAAATAAATGTCTTTTTTTTTTTGAGACGGAGTTTTGCTCGTCACCCAGGCTGGAGTGCAGTGGCACAATCTTGGCTCACTCCAACCTCTGCCTCCTCGGTTCAAGTGATTCTCCTGTCTCAGCCTCCCAAAGTAGCTGAGATTGCAGGCGCCCACCACCACACCCAGCTAAGTTTTTATTTTTAGTTGAGACAGGGTTTCACACGTTGGCCAGGCTGGTCTTGAACTCCTGACCTCAGGTGATCCACCTGCCTCAGCCTCCCAAAGTGCTGGGATTACAGGCGTGAGTCACCACGCCCAGCCCTTTTTTTTTTTTTTTTTTGAGACGAAGTCTTGCTATTGTCACCCAGGCTGGAGTGCAATGGTGTGATCTTAGCTCACTGCAACCTCCGCCTCCCAGGTTCAAGGGATTCTCCTGCCCCAGCCTCCCGAGCAGCTGGGATTACAGGCACCCGCCACCACACCCAGTTAATTTTTGTATTTTTAGTAGAAATGGGGTTTCACCATGTTGGCCAGGCTGGTCTGGAACTCCCGACCCCAGGTAATCCGCCCGCCTCGGCCTCCCAAAGTGCTGGGATTACAGGCCTGAGCCACCTCGCCTGGCCAAAAAAAGATCCTTAACCTGAGGCTGGTGCCAGGTGCATTTAATAAGATGTTATTAAAGGAGAAATGGGGTAGGGTGAGGACTGGGGCTGACCAAGAGGAAGAGAGCTTCCATTTTCCTGGACAAAGCCAGGAAGGCTCCTTGGGGGAGGCAGCTTTTGGTCTGATCCCTGGTCTGGTGGGATTTGCCTGGGCAGTGCCAGGGAAGGGAACTGCAGATGGAGGCAGCCAAGGGGAAAGGGCTAGAGGAGGGCTCTGTGGGACTCCAGGGACCCGGAGCTCCCTGACCGGGGAGCGGGGCTTCCTTCCTTCTCTCTGAGCGAGTGTGGACTAAATGCCCTGTGGGCTGATTGCAGGGCCCATCTTCTGGCTGCTGGTCAAGAGCCCCGAGCTGGCCGCCCAGCCCAGCACATACCTGGCCGTGGCGGAGGAACTGGCGGATGTTTCCGGAAAGTACTTCGATGGACTCAAACAGAAGGCCCCGGCCCCCGAGGCTGAGGATGAGGAGGTGGCCCGGAGGCTTTGGGCTGAAAGTGCCCGCCTGGTGGGCTTAGAGGCTCCCTCTGTGAGGGAGCAGCCCCTCCCCAGATAACCTCTGGAGCAGATTTGAAAGCCAGGATGGCGCCTCCAGACCGAGGACAGCTGTCCGCCATGCCCGCAGCTTCCTGGCACTACCTGAGCCGGGAGACCCAGGACTGGCGGCCGCCATGCCCGCAGTAGGTTCTAGGGGGCGGTGCTGGCCGCAGTGGACTGGCCTGCAGGTGAGCACTGCCCTGGGCTCTGGCTGGTTCCGTCTGCTCTGCTGCCAGCAGGGGAGAGGGGCCATCTGATGCTTCCCCTGGGAATCTAAACTGGGAATGGCCGAGGAGGAAGGGGCTCCGTGCACTTGCAGGCCACGTCAGGAGAGCCAGCGGTGCCTGTCGGGGAGGGTTCCAAGGTGCTCCGTGAAGAGCATGGGCAAGTTGTCTGACACTTGGTGGATTCTTGGGTCCCTGTGGGACCTTGTGCATGCATGGTCCTCTCTGAGCCTTGGTTTCTTCAGCAGTGAGATGCTCAGAATAACTGCTGTCTCCCATGATGGTGTGGTACAGCGAGCTGTTGTCTGGCTATGGCATGGCTGTGCCGGGGGTGTTTGCTGAGGGCTTCCTGTGCCAGAGCCCAGCCAGAGAGCAGGTGCAGGTGTCATCCTGAGTTCAGGCTCTGCACGGCATGGAGTGGGAACCCCACCAGCTGCTGCTACAGGACCTGGGATTGCCTGGGACTCCCACCTTCCTATCAATTCTCATGGTAGTCCAAACTGCAGACTCTCAAACTTGCTCATTTAAAAGAAAAAAAAAAGAAGAAAATGTACCCGAGTCGTAGATTTTATTTTTCCTCTGTGCATGGGTGAATGCCCATGAGCTGAACAAAGGCAACTCATGGCTTTATTCCTTTTAGGAAACAAGGCATCAGTTTATCACCAGGGCAACAGGCCATGCAAAAGTTCAGACTTGGCCGGGCGCGGTGGATCACGAGGTCAGGAGATCGAGACCATCCTGGCTAACACAATGAAACCCTGTTTCTACTAAAAAAATACAAAAAATTAGCTGGGCATGGTGGTGGGCGCCTGTAGTCCCAGCTACTCGGGAGGCTGAGGCAGGAGAATGGTGTGAAGCTGGGAGGCGGAGATTGCAGTGAGCCGAGATCATGCCACTGCCCTCCAGCCTGGGTGACAGAGCAAGATTCCGTCTCAAAAAAAAAAAAAAGTTCCGACTTTTTAGAGATGAAAGCCCCTTTCACCTGTTTCACAGGAAATAACCGTTTAAGTCCGGGCATCTTACAAGACTGCTGTGTTAGAAACTGGATAGAGATCAGGGTGAGATGAAGGGGCTCTTAGCTTAGGTGCAGAACCGAAGGAGGCACCGAAAAGCTCAGTAATCGAGATAGAAAACATGTTTTCATATTTGAGATACTGGGGAGGCCAGGGATGCTACTCAATATCCCACAGTACACAGAACAGCCACCTAGTCTCGCTCTGTTGCCCAGGCTGGAGTGCAATGGCATGATCTCAGCTCACTGCAACCTGTGTCTCCCATGTTCAAGCGATTCTCATGCCTCAGCCTCCCGAGTAGCTGGGATTACAGGCGCCCACCACCACACCTGGCTAATTAAAGACGGTATCACCATGTTGGCCAGGCTTATCTTGAACTCCTGACCTCAGGTGATCCACCCGTCTTGGCCTCCCAAAGTGCTGGGATTATAGGTGTGAGCCAGTGCACCCAGCCCTTTTTGCTTTTTTAGAGACGAGGTCTTACTGTGTTGCCAAGGCTGGAGTGCAGTGCCGTCACAGCTCACTACAACCTCGACCTGTGATTCTCCTGCCTCAGCCTCCTGAGTATCTGGGACTACAGGTGCATGCCACCACACTTGGCTAATTATTTGTAGAGGTGGCAACATAACATTTGCTATGTTGCCCAGGCTGGTCTCAAACTCCTGGGCTCAAGTGACCCTTCCGCCATGGCCTCCCAAATTGTTGGGATTACAGGCATGAGCCACCGTACCTGGCCTTAGTTTTCTTTCCGATGCCACACCAAATGGCTAGAGGGTGTGTTTGGGATGACCTGAGTCTGGTAGGCAACTTCCAGTGGACCCCACGGTGCGACCACCTCCCTTTGAGTGTGGGGGAGATGTAGCGACTGGCTTCTAGCAGTAGGATAGGGCAGAAGTGACAGTAGGTTAGTCTTGTGGTTAGGTTACAAAACTGACCTCTGTGATGGTAGCGTCCCTCGTCAGCCCTCTTGTCTTGCCCTCTCGCTGGCTGGTGGTGATGGAGCCGGCTGCCATGGTGAGCGGCCCTGTGGAGAAGCCAGGGAGGAATGGAGACAATCTGGAGAAACAGAATCACACCAACAACCACGTGCGTGAGCTTGCTGTGTGCTCTTGCTTGGGAGCAAGTTACAGGTTCAGCCCAAGAGGAGCGGACCACTCCAGGGTGTAAATACCAGGAGGGGGAATTGGAAGACTACCCTAAGCATGCCGACCGGAGACTGTGTGTGTGTAGTAGGTATTTCTTACTGGGAGATCACGGAAAAGCAAGTTTGAGAAACACTCCCATCAGATGGGTGGGCCGAGGATAACCTCAAAGCCTTTGGTTCTCCGAATAGGTGCGTAGGACTCACCCAGGCACTCTTTCCTTTTTTAAATTGTGGTAAAAACTACATAACAGTGGCCAGGCGTGATGGTGCACGCCTGTAATCCCAGCTATTAGGGAGGCTGAGGCAGAAGAACTGCTTGAACCAAGGGGGCACCGCTCCTGGCTGTAACATGTTTTCAATATCCCCCCTCTTCGGTGGCACAGGGGCTGGCCCCATATACATGTGCGATGGCAACTGACAGGGTCCCTGATAAACCGGAGTGCTCCAGAAACACCCCATTGCGTGGGACGGAGGATGTTAGGTGGCCCTCCTAGCGTTTGAGTTTGATAAATGAGCAAAGGAAGTGGTTTTTACTAGAAAGCCAGCTTTCCTTTTTTTTTTTTTTTTTTTTCCAGCCAGCAAACCCCAAACAGGAACCTATGGTTGGTGATGGATGTGCGTTCAGAAAGCAGGGAGGGAGGGGGAGTCAGAGGTGAGGGGGTCATCAGCCATAGCTGTCCGCTGCATCACCCCCTCGCTATCTCCAGGAAGCGTTCTGGGCTTTTCCTGTTGTGCAGTGTGGAAGTGCTCTATCTTCATTCATATCAAGGAAAGTCAAAGGACAAACTAAAGCCGGCAGCGTCTTTCTGGCTTCCTAGTCAGGCTGTTCGGTAGCGGAGTGTCACCCTGATTTCCAGCCCCGCAGCACACACAGTGAGAGCCTGCCTGGCGTGATTCAGAGGCAACGTATTTCCCAAGGTGGCTGTGAAGGAACCAGGGGGATAAACACAGCCCGTGAACCGCACGCCAGAGGACAGGTCCGGCTGCCTGCCGCGGAGTCGTCACGGCGTGTCGCGTCTGAGCGCTTCTCCAAAGCACCCAAGTGGCACCCGGGGTGACAGTTACATCATCTTGAGTACAGTTCTCTCAAGGAAAAAGCAAGCCCAGCATCTTCTGCCATGGCAACCCTGGCTTGGAGCCTCCATAAGAGAGAAGGCCCTAAGAATAATACCATTTTCTTGCTCTAAGTTGCTCTTACGGGAAAGAAGTGATAATATTCTTCCTAAACGCCATCATTCGTGCATCCTTCCCACCTATATGTGTCACCGGATCATTCTCCGCCTGGGCGGGGCCGTCCTGTGCACTGCAGAATGCTGAGCAGTGTCCTTGGCTTCGACCGACCACATGCCAGGAGCACCCCAATTTCTGCCATCGGGTGATTGACTTCACTGTTGCATTTGATTTTTTATGTATCTTTTAAAAGGACCCAATAGGGCCAGGCACAGTGGCTCACACTTGTAATCCCAGCACTTTGGGAGGCTGAGGTCGGTGGATTGCTTGAGCCCAGGAGGAGTTCAAGACCAGCCTGGGCAACATAGTGAAACCCCAACTCTACAAAAAACAAATGTTTTATTTTTATTTATTTTAGATGGAGTTTCACTCTTGTTGCCCAGGCTGGAGTGCAGTGGCGCAATCTCGGCTCACTGCAACTTCTGCCTCCCGGGTTCAAGCGATTCTCCTGCCTCAGCCTCCTGAGTATCTGGGATTACAGGCATGCGCCACCACACCCAGCTAATTTTGTATTTTTAGTAGAGATGGCGTTTCTCCATGTTGGTCAGGCTGGTCTCAAACTCCCGACCTCAGGTGATCTGCCTGCCTCGGCCTCCCAGAGTGTTGGGATTACAGGCGTGAGCCACCACGCCCAGCCGGGTTTATAGTTTTATAACCCTTATGACAAATCTCATAGTATTCTGCAGGGATAAGCATGAAACCACTCGTTCAATAAGTGCAAACAAAAACGCCAACAATTCTTAAGACATTTCTAATCTTATTTTACCAATAATTTTAAAGCCAGCTTATGTATTAAAGATTTATAACTACTTTTATTAACACGTTTAAAATTCTATGCAGCTTAAAGCATTTATAATGGATAAAACTGCCAATACTGAGTGCCTGACATAATATTTGAAAGGTGGCAGGCATTCAACCATGGTCACTGAATGAGAGATGTAGGGAAGATGATGGCAGGGAGGTTTTTAGATATCAACACCCTGATAGTTCTCATTTTAACCACCTGTAAGTGCACATACAAGTCAACGGCACTGGCCGGGCGCGGTGGCTCATGCCTGTATTCCCAGCACTTTGGGAGGCCAAATCACAAGGTCAGGAGATCGAGACCATCCTGGCTAACACGGTGAAACCCCGTCTCTACTAAAAATACAAAAAATCAACTAGGCATGGTGGCACGCACCTGTAGTCCCAGCTACTCAGGAGGCTGAGGCAGGAGAATCGCTTGAACCTGGGAGGCGGAGGTTGCGGTGAGCCAAGATCGCGCCACTGCACTCCAGCCTCGGCGACAGAGTGAGACTCCGTCTCAAAAAACCAAAAAACAAAAAACAGTCAATGGCATTAAATATAAATACATTTACAGTGTTGTGTAACCATCACCACTATGGATCCCCCAGACTTTGTCATCATCTTCAACCTAAGCGCTCCCTATTAAATAGTAACTCCCCACTTTTCCCAGGCCTTGGCAACCACCATTCTAATCCCTGTCTCTATGAATTTGACTCCTCTCGATACCTCAGATAAGCGGCACAATGCAGTATTTATCTGTCAAGTCCGGAATATTTCCTTTAGCATAATGTCTTCAAGGTCCATCACGTTGTAGCATGTATCTGAATTTATTCTTTTATAATATTTTTTATTTTTTGGAGACAGAATCTCGCTCTGTCACCCAGGCTGGAGTGCAATGGCGCGATCTCGGCTCACCGCAACTTCCGCGTCCCGGGTTCAAGCCATTCTCCTGTCTCAGCCTCCGGAGTAGCTGGGACTACAGGTGCCTGCCGCCATGCCCGGCTATTTTTTTTTTGTATTTTTTGGGGGTTTTACTGTGTTGCCCAGGCTGGTCTTGAACTGCTGAGCTCAGGCAATCTGCCTGCCTCAGCCTCCTAAAGTACTAGGATTACAGGCATGGGCCACCACGCCCGGCCTTATTTTTATTTTTGAGACAGTCTCACTCTGCCGCCCAGGCTGGAGTGCAGTGGTGCGATCTCGGCTTACCGCAATCTCTGCCTCCCAGGTTCAAGCGATTCTCATGCCTCCGTCTCCCAAGTAGCTGGGATTACAGGCACCTGCCACCATGCCCGGCTAATTTAACGCCCAGCTAATTTTTGTATTTTTAGTAGAGATGGGGTTTCACCATGTTAACCAGGCTGGTCTCGGACTCCTGACCTCAGGTGATCCGCCCGCCTCGGCCTCCCAAAGTGCTGGGATTACAGGCGTGAGCCACTGTGCCTGGCTGATTTTTATTCTTTTAGTTAAGGCTGGTTGATATTACCTTGTGTGTATATACCACATGTTGTTTATCCATTGTTGTTGATGGACATGTGGGTGGTTTCACCTTTTGGCTATTGTGAATAAAGCTGCTATGAACACTGTGTACAAATATGTTAGAGACCCTGTTTTCAGTTCTTTTAGGTGTGTACCCCGAAGTGGAATTGCTGGATTTTATGGCAATCCCACGTTTAACTTCTGGAGGAGCTGCTGGAACTGTTTTCCACAGCAGGGGCGCCATGTTACGTCCCTGCCAGCAATGCACGCGCAGTTCAATTTCTCTGCATACTCACCAATATCTGCTGTTTTCCATTAAAAAAAATTATAGCCGGTCGGGTGCAGTGGCTCATGCCTGTAATCCCAGCACTTTGGGAGACCGAGGCAGGTGGATCAACTGAGGTCAGGAGTTCAAGACCAGCCTGGCCAACACAGTGAAACCCCATCTCTACTAAAAATACAAAAATTAGCCTGGTGTGGTACATACCTATAATCCCAGCCACTTGGGAGGCTGAGGCAGGAGAATCGCTTGAACCTGGGAGGTGGAGGTTGTAGTGGGCCGAGATGGCGCCACTGCACTCCAACCTGGGCAAAAAGAACGAGACTTTGTCTCAAAAGAAAAAAAAAAAATACAGCCATTCCAGAAGGTGTGAAGTCATATCTCACTGTGGTTTTGATGCGTATTTTCCTAGTGACATCAGGGAGTTTATGGGAGCACGGGAACACAGACCAGGCCCCAGCAGGCGGACAAACGGTGCAACGCCAGGCTGGCCAGAGGAGATAAGCGCGGCTCCTTGGAGCTTGTGTGCAAGTCACTGTACTGAGGAGCCGGCTACGGCTCGATGAGTCTCAATTAGGAAAGGCCGGGGCTGGTGGAGGAAGGGAGGAGAGCATTCTTCATCCTCATCACATCCTGAGCCTGTGCCCCAGGCTCCCACCACTTCCCTCCCTGGCCACAGAGCTCAGGACAGGGCTGAGGAACCATGTCTCCATCCCCGACCGCCCTCTTCTGTCTTGGTGAGTCCTGAGGGTCAGATCTGGGAAATGCTGAAGGACAGGCATGGACTGCCAGACAAAGGATTTTTAAGAAATTTGCATTGGTGATGAATTTCAGGACAAAAAGGAACCTGTAAGAGCCCCTTCATTTGTTGGGTGGGGAAACGGGGGGCCAGCGAGCTGGCATTTTGCATGAGTTATTCCAGTGTATTCATGGCTGGGTCAGGAAATGAACAGAGTATCCTAGCATTGGTCACAACTTTGTTCTACTACACTGCAGTTGCCCCTTTTTTAAAAAATGTGGGCCAGGCACAGTGGCTCACGCCTGTAATCTCAACCTTGGGAGGCCGAGGTGGGTGGATCACCTGAGGTCAGGAGTTCAAGACCAGCCTGGTCAACATGGTGAAACCCCATCTCTACAAAAATTAGCCGGGCGTGATGGCGGGTGCTTGTAATCCCAGCTACGTGGGAGGCTGAGGTGGGAGAATTGCTTGAAACTGGGAGGCAGAAGTTGCAGTGAGCTGAGGTCAGGCATTGCACTCCAGCCTGGGCAACAGAGAGAGCCTCCATCTCAAAAAAAAAAAAAAAAAAAAAAAAAAAGGCTGAGTGCCATGGCTTACACACTTTGGGAGGCCGAGGCGGGTGGGCCATCTGAGGTCGGGAGTTTGAGACCAGCCTGACCAACATGGAGAAACCCCATCTCTACTAAAAATACAAAATTAGCCGGGTGTGGTGGCACATGCCTGTAATCCCAGCTACTCTGGAGGCTAAGGCAGGAGAATCGCTTGAACCTGGGAGGTGGAGGTTGCGGTGAGCCAAGATCACACCATTGCACTCTGGCCTGGGCAACAAGAGCGAAACTCCGTCTCAAAAAAAAAAAAAAAAAAATTGTGGAATTGATATCTGGACTAGGTATGGATTTAATTTGTCAGTATCCCCTACAGTAGTGGAGTAAATAGTCTCCTGATGGATGGGTGGCAGGTCGAATGCATTTCTGCTGCCTGATCTTCACTTGTGCTGGGCATGTCGAATGCATTATTTCCTGATTTCTTCAGAATTTGACCACTAAAGGGACAGCATCTCCAAAAGGCTAAGCAGGAAGAAGATGGTTGCATTACTGGAGATGAGAGGGTTAACTGTGAATATAAACAACCTCTCATTCATTATCCATCCATGGATGTATTCTTTTTTTCTTTTTGTTTGTTTTTTGAGATGGAGTCTCGCTCAGTCGGTCGCTCAGGCTGGAATGCAATGGCATGATCTCAGCTCACTGCAAACTCTGCCTCCCGGGTCCAAGTGATTCTCCTGCCTCAGCCTCCCGAATAGTTGGGATTACAGGCATCTGCCACCAGGTCTGGCTAATTATTGTATTTTTAGTAGGGGCGGGGTTTCACCATGTTGGCCAGGCTGGTCTCAAGCTCCTTACTTCAGGTTCCACCCGCCTCGGCCTCCCAAAGTGCTGGGATTACAGGCGTGAGCCACCGCACCCAGCCTGTTTTAACTTTTATTTATTTAATTTTATTTGAGATAGGGCCTCACTTCTGTCACCCAGGCAGGAGGGCAGTGGCATGATCATGGCTCACTGCAGCCTCAACCTCCCAGGCTCAACCAGTGCCTCCCCATCAGCCTCCTGAGTATCTGGAACTACAGTTGTACACCATCATGCCTGGCTTGTTTTTGTAATTTTTTTAGTTACGGGGGTCCGCTATGTTGCCCAGGCTGGTCTTGAACTCCTGGGCTCAAGCGATCCACCCACCTCGGCCTCCCAAAGTGTTGGGGTTACAGGTGTGGCCTGTACAGGTTACTGCATCTGGCTTGTTGCTTCAGTAGCTTTTGGGATACAAGTGGTTCTTGGTTACATGGATGAATTATATTCTGGTGAATTCTGAGATTTTAGTGCACCTGTCACCTGACTAGTGTACCTTGTACCTAATGTGTAGTTTTTCATCCCTGCCCCACTTCTGCCCTTCCCTTCTGAGTCTCTGAAGTCCATTACATCACTCTGCATGCCTTTGCATACCCACAGCTTAGCTCTCACTTATAAGTGAGAATATACAGATTTTTGTTTTCCACTCCTGTATTACTTTACTTAGAATAATGCCTTCCAGCTCCATCCAAGTTGCTGCAAAAGACTTTTTTTTTTTTTTTTTAAAGACGGAATCTCGCTCTCTCACCAAGGCTGGAGTGCAGTGGTGTGATCTCGGCTTACTGCAAACTCCACCTCCCGGGTTTAAGTGATTCTCCTGCCTCAGCCTCCCGAGTAGCTGGGACTACAGGCACCCGCCACCATGCCCGGCTAATTTTTGTATTTTTAGTAGAGATGGGGTTTCACCATGTTGGGCAGGATGGTCTTGATCTCTTGACCTCGTGATCCACCCACCTCGGCCTCCCAGAGTGCTGGCATTACAGATGTGAGCCACTGTGCCTGGCCAAAAGACATTATTTCACTCCTTTTAATGGCTGAGTAGTATTCCACGCTCATTTATTTTTATTTATTTTTATTTTTTGACATGGAGTCTCACTCTGTTGCCCAGACTGGAGCGCAGTGGCATGACGTTGGCTCACTGCAACCTCCACCTCCCAGGTTCAAGCGATTCTCCTGCCTCAGCCTCCCAAGTAGCTGGGATTACAGGCTCCTGCCACTACGCCCCGCTAATTTTTGTATTTTTAGTAGAGACAGGGTTTCACCATGTTGGTCAGGCTGCTCTCGAACTCCTGACTTCAGGTGATCCGCCCACCTTGGCCTCCCAAAATGGGATTACAGGTGTGAGCCAGCGCGCCCGGCCGGTGAGAACATTTAAAATCTACTATCGGTGATATGCAAGTGTACAATATGTTGTTATTAACTACAGTCACCATGATGTGCAGTAGATCTCCAAGACATACTCCTCTTGTCCAACTGAAACTGTCCTCCTCTGACCAACATCTCCCCAAACCTTACCCCACCGCCCCGGTAACCACCACTGTGCTCTCTACTCCTGTAAGTTCCCAAGTCCACACTCTTTACCACTAATTGGTGCTGCTAGGGTTTGAATCTACTCCTGCCAGCTGTAGGACTGTGGATAAGATACTGTCTCACTAGCCTGATGTATAAGAGGGGACTGATAATGGTGGGTAACCCGTACGATTATGGCGACTTGGAGTCCATGCACAGAAGGCGCTCAGCACGGCGCCTGGAAGACTCCCAGCCATGGTACAGCGTCGCATGGAAACCTACAAAGAGGCTGAGGTGGGCTGTGATGCGGCAGGAGGAGGGGGACAGAGAAGCGGCCGGAGCTTGCGTTGGGGTGCAGAGGGAGCCTGGGGTGGACAAAGGGTGGTGGCTATGGGGGCGCTGGTGACAAGTTGTCACTCTCTGAGCTCAGAGTCAAGACATGAGCTGGGTTCACCCACTTCTTGCTATGTGAGCTACACAAGGTTGCTTGGCCTCTGCCCAGTTTCCTTATGTTTACAGTGGGAATGACAACTATCCCGCCTTTGTGTGTGTGTGTGTGTGTGTGTGTGTGTAAGAATGAGGGTTACCAGATAAAACACTGGATGCCTGGTTAAATTGGAATTTCAGATAATTAGTACTTTTTTTTTCCTCCTCCTCTTCGTTTTCTGAGACAGGGTCTTGCTCTGTTGTCAGTCTGGAGTGCAATGGGGCAATATCATTTTTTTTTTTCCTCGAGATGGAGTCTTGCTCTGTTGCCCAGGCTGGAGTGTAGTGGCGTGATCTTGGCTCACTGCAACCTCCGCCTCCCGGGTTCAAGTGATTCTCCTGACTCAGCCTCCCCAGTAGCTAGGATTACAGGCACGTGCCACCATGCCCAGCTAATTTCTGGTATTTTTAGTAGAGATGGTGTTTCACCATGTTGACCAGGCTGGTCTTGAACTCCTGACCTTGTGATCCGCCCACCCTGGCCTCCCAAAGTGCTGGGATTATAGGCATGAGCCACCGTGCCCGGCCAGTGGTGCAATCTTACCTCACAGCAGACTTGACCTCCTGGGCTCAAGCAATTCCAGGAGGGGATCGCTTATGTACATGTATTTGTATACATATGTATACACACACACACACACACACACACACATGCATACATATATACATATACATACATATACACGTGTGTATGTACACACGTGTATATGTACATACACATGTATGTATAGATGTAGGTTTACATATATGCACTATATGTGTATATACATATAGTAATCAGATCAGGGTAAGTAGCACACCCATCTTCTCAAACATGCATCCTTTCTGTGTTGGGAACTTTCCCCATCCTCCTTCAGGCTATTTGAAACGATTATTATATATATTATATCCTATCATGTAATCATGGAATACTGATTCAAGCAAATGTTGTAAATACCGGGAAACCCATGGCCAGCACATGCTGAGACGTCCTGACTTACACGCTGAGGCTCCATCCTGCTCCATCCTTGGAGCCCAATGCATCCCATTAGTGTGGGGTTTTATCGCATATATTACATAGACAATAAAATACAATAATATACAATATGCAATAGTATTTACAATACTTGTCTATACAATTGCATACTATTGTAATGTACTTGGATATTATTTAATATTGGGAGACTGAAGGGAGGAAACGAAGGGACAGCAATGTCTCAGGTCCCATTCCTCACATCCACTGAGGAAGTCAATGGGCAATGTCTAACACGAACGAGCCCACCGTGTCTAACACAACACAAACGAGCCCACCGTGTCTAACACAACACGAACGAGCCCACCGTGTCTAACACAACACGAACGAGCCCACCGCGTCTAACACGAACGAGCCCACCGCGTCTAACACGAACGAGCCCACCGTGTCTAACACAACACGAACGAGTCCACCGTGTCTAACACAACACGAACGAGCCCACCGTGTCTAACACAACACGAACGAGTCCACCGTGTCTAACACAACACGAACGAGTCCACCGTGTCTAACACGAACGAGTCCACCGTGTCTAACACGAACGAGTCCACCGTGTCTAACACGAACGAGTCCACCGTGTCTAACACAACACGAAGGAGTCCACCGCGTCTAACACGAACGAACCCACCGCGTCTAACACGAACGAACCCACCGTGTCTAACACGAACGAACCCACCGTGTCTAACACGAACGAGTCCACCGTGTCTAACACAACACGAACGAGTCCACCGTGTCTAACACAACACGAACGAGTCCACCGTGTCTAACACGAACGAGTCCACCGCGTCTAACACGAACGAGTCCACCGTGTCTAACACAACACGAACGAGTCCACCGTGTCTAACACGAACGAGCCCACCGTGTCTAACACGAACGAGCCCACCGTGTCTAACACGAACGAGTCCACCGTGTCTAACACGAACGAGCCCACCGTGTCTAACACGAACAAGTCCACAGAGAGCAGTACGCCACCATGCCTTGCCCTCCTCTCCCACCACCCCCAGCCATGGATCTGCTTTCTTCTCCATCTCCTATAGATTTACCTATTCTGGATATTTCATGTAAATGACCTCATAAACTATGTGGCTTTTTCTGACCGGTTTCTCTCACTTAAATTACATTCCTGTGTGTCTTTTGAAGAAATTATTAGGACAGAGTAAAGCATATGCATGCAAATGTCTTATCACCGCGCCCAGCAGGCAGGAATGTCCATAAAAGCGAGTCCTGGCATCTGGTCCCTTTCTTCTTTCCTCAGGGCTGTGTCTGGGGCGTGTGCCAGCGCAGAGTGGTGAGTCCTTCCCCAGACCCCTTCCCTCCTGCGGGATCCGCCAGCGCGGGAGCAGCGGGGTCCAGGCGGGGTCTGCGGGGAGGCTGACCCAGCCCTGCTCCTCTTCCAGGACCGCTCCCCAAGCCCTCCCTCCAGGCTCTGCCCAGCTCCCTGGTGCCCCTGGAGAAGCCAGTGACCCTCCGGTGCCAGGGACCTCCGGGCGTGGACCTGTACCGCCTGGAGAAGCTGAGTTCCAGCAGGTACCAGGATCAGGCAGTCCTCTTCATCCCGGCCATGAAGAGAAGTCTGGCTGGACGCTACCGCTGCTCCTACCAGAACGGAAGCCTCTGGTCCCTGCCCAGCGACCAGCTGGAGCTCGTTGCCACGGGTAAAGGAAGGGGGATCGGAGCCTGGGACTGCGTGGTCCTCCGTTCAGGACACAAATACGGGGGACATTGAGGGCAGGGATTAGGGTGAGGCAAACGAGGCACTGGCCTAGCGGGTGGTGGTGCCACGACATTTATGGATCAATGTGAATAATATTTTGTTTTTTGGACACAGGGTCTTGCTGCGTCACCCAGGGTGGAGAGCAGTGGCGCGATCTTGGCTCACTGCAGCCTCCACCTCCAGGGCTCAAGCGATTCTCCCGCCTCAGCCCTCCAAGTAGCTAGGATTACAGGTGTGCACCACCACGCCCAGCTCATTTTTTATGTTTTTATAGAGATGGGGTCTCTTGACAGTTTTCACAAAAGGCATTAAAATACAAAAGAGAGAGAGATAGGGTCTCGCTATGTTGCTCAGGCTGGTCTCGAACTCCTGTGGGCTCAAGCTATCCTTCCACCTTGGCTTCCCAAAGTGTTGGGATTTCAGGCGTGAGCCACTGCATCTGGCTGTGAATAACATTTTCATGCAATTTTTAAAAAAATCAAAATAAATTGCAAAAACATCCACAATGAAAAAAACCAGAATTTCAAATAAAGGCAGAATCAGCCAGTGCCTGTGTCAAGTCATACCAGAGTCTGTGCCAAAACGAAAAACAGGCAACCCTTTATCTGTGTTTTAATGCACTTAAAAAAATTAGCGATGGGGTCTTGCTACACTGCCCAGGCCGGAGTGCAGTGGCTGTTCATAGGAGCAGTCATAGCTCACTGCAGCCTGGAGCTCCTTGCCTTGAGCAATCCTCCTGCCTCAGCCTCATGAGTAGCAGGGACTACGGTCACGGGCCACCGTGCTTGGCTCGGGATTCTTTTTAAAACTTTGTTTTGGAGTAATTTTTAGACTGACAGAAAAGTTCCAAAGATAATATTAATGGAAATATTTCACCCAGGATCCCCTCATGTTAACATCTTACATTTGTTACAACCAAAAAATAAACGTAGCACTGGTCCCAGTGGTTTACACCTGTAATCCCAGCACTTTGGGAGGCTGAGGCGGGAGGATTGCTTGAGCTCAGGAGTTCAAGACCAGCCTGGGCAACATAGTGAGACCTCATCTTTAAACAAAATTAAAAATTAGTGGGGCATGGTGGCATACACCTATAGTCCCAGCTACTCAGGAGGCTGAGGCAGGAGGATCGCTTGAGCCAGGGAGGCCGAGGCTGCAGGGAGCTGTGATCACGCCACTGCACTCCAGCCTGGGTGACAGAGTGAGACCCTGTATCAAAAAACAAACAAAAAACTAACCATAGACACAACTATATTATATCAAGTAAACTCCAGGCTATTTGAATTTCACCAGTCTTTCCACTAATATCCTATTTCTGTTCCCAGACCCCGTCCAGGGCCCCACAGTGCATTTAGTATTTATGTCTCCTTAGACTCTTGATTGGTGCAAATATTCTAATTTCTTTTCTTATTTATTTATTTTTTTTAAGAGAAGAGGTTGGGCCGGGCGCGGCGGCTCACGCCTGTAATCCCAGTACTTTGGGAGGCTGAGGTGGGTGGATCACTTAAGGTCAGGAGTTTGAGACCAGCCTGGCCAACATGGTGAAACCCCGTCTCTACTAAAAAAAATAATAATAATTAGCTGGGCGCGGTGGCGCACTCCTGTAATCCCAGCTACTCCGGAGGCTGAGGCAGGAGAATCGCTTAAACCTGGGAGGCGGTGAGCCGAGATTGCACCACTGCAGTCCAGCCTGGGCGACAGAGCAAGACTCCGTCTTGGGAAAAAAAAAAAAAGAGAAGAGGTCTTACTATGTTGCCCAGGCTTTAGTACACTCGCTGTATTCACAGGCATGATCATAGCTCACTTTAGCCTCAAATCCCTGGGCTCAAGTGGTCCTCCCTAGTAGCTGGGACTATAGGTGCACCCAGTTAGTGCACTTTTAAATGGTTATTTTCTAGAAGTAGGTTTTGGAAATAGCACTGATGCGCTTGCATCCACAAAAGCCTAGAATGTAAAATTCTAATAAATCTTTCAGGGGAATAAAGTATTCAAACAGAATAATGTGAGTTTTAACGACCTACTCTTCAAATTTTCAATAATTTTTTCAAATATGTTAATTGTTTGGGAATAATTAAATTTTACATCCCAGGAGAGTGCCTCACTCACGCCACCCTAATTCCTGGCCAGCTGCACTGTGGTCTATTCCGCGTTATAAATCCTGCCTCCCTCCCCTCTTCCCTGCCTCACTCCCCTCCACAGCATCACTGGCCTCCTCTCTGCTACTAGAATGGACCAGCCTGGCTGCCTCATTACTTCTTTCAGGGTCAGACTCAAATACTCTCTTCTCGCTAAGTATATCCCCCACCACCCTAGTCAAAGTGGCCCTCCTCACTATCTGGTATGTGAAGTATACCTTTTTTTATCTTGGTGGTGGTTGTCTATTTTTAATTCCTGGTCGGGCACGGTGGCTCACGCCTGTAATGCCAGCACTTTGGGAGGCCGAGGTGGACGGATCACCTGAGGTCAGGAGTTCGAGATCAGCCTGGCTAACATGGTGAAACCCTGTCTCTACTAAACATACAAAATTAACTGGGCATGGTGGTGCATGCCTGTAGTCCCAGCTACTCGGGAGGCTGAGGCAGGAGAATCGCTTGAACCCAGGAGGTGGAGGTTGCAGTGAGCTGGGATCATGCCACTGCACTCCAGCCTGGGCAACAGAGTGAGATTCTGTTTCCCAAAAAAAAAAAAAAAAAAAAAAAAAAAAAAAATATATATATATATATATATATATATATATATATATATATATATATATATATATATATATGCCATTGCACTCCAGCCTGGGTGACAGAGCGAGACTCCGTCTCAAAACAAAACAAAACAAAACAAAACAAATGAAACAACAAAAAAAGAATACAGACAGACACATAATAGTTGCTTAAGTGAAAATTAAGAGAAAATATTGCTGAGTGAATGTTACAGTTATCAGGCAGCTTATATATTTCCTTCCTTCCTTCCTCCCTCCCTCCCTTCCTTCCTCTTTCTTTCTTTTTCTTCTTGTTGAGTGAATGCCATAATTATTAGGCAGCTTATATTTTTATCTTCCTTACTTCCTTTCTTTTGCTTTCTCTCTCTGTCTTTTTTTGAGACAAGGTCTCACTCTGTCACCCAGGCTAGTGTACAGTGATCATAGCTCACTGCAGCCTCGCCTTCCTGGGCTCAAGCGATCCTCCCACCTTGGCCTCCCAAAGTGCTGGGATGACCGGTGTGAGCCGCCGCACCCAGCCTCAACCTTTGTTTTTCTGACTCCTGTGTGCAGGCATGCATCACCACACCGGTCTATGACAACAACCTCACATCAGAGTAGTGTAGGTTCGTGTTTAGGAGCGGAGACCCTGGAATCAAACTCTGTGAGTGCAGATTTCAACTCTGCCACTTATGATCTTGGACAAGTTTTTTATTTATTTTTAAATTAAAATATGTCCAGCTTTGTTGAGGTATAATTGAAAAACAAAAATGGAATATATCCAAGGTGTACAAGTTGATGTTTTGATATACGAATCCACTGTGAGACAGTTACTACTAGCAAGCTAATTAACATACATCACCTGACACAGTTAACTTTTTTGTGTGTGAGAATACTTATAATCTACCCTCTTAGCAAATTTCAGCTGTACACTGCAGTATTGTTACCTAGAGTTGGACAAATTATTTAATGCCATGTGCCTTAGTTTCATTTATAAAATAGGGACATTAAGAGTGAGGACTCCATAGGTCTCTGAGGATTCACTGAACTGATATACATCATAAGTTTGGAAGGCACCCGGAAGCTAGCACTGTCAGCCACATTTACAACGTAACAATTGTATGTGGCAATACAAGCTTACAGCACAGTATAAGCTTAAGCTATTTACTTACTCCAGCGCTTGCTAGGCAACAGGCACTCTGCAAATTACTGTGTACTGTCTCATTCAGTCATCCCCATTTTAACAGAACAAGGCAGTGAGGCTCAGATACAGAGGGAGATTTGTCTCCAGGGCCACCAGGCCCCTGAAGGCAGAACTAGGATTTGCACCCAAGCACTAGGACGTGAGCACAGCCTCCTTCCTCAACCACTGGGTGACTCGACCTCTCTGTGAGCTTGGGTGGGGGAGTGCGCTCTCTGGGAGGGATACAGCCAAAAAGCTCCCCAGCTCTTAGGCAGGTGTGGGGACCTCCCCAGTCTCAGCTGAGATGCTGGCTCCTGCCTTCAACATCAGACTTTCTTTTTCTCCCAGGAGTTTTTGCCAAACCCTCGCTCTCAGCCCAGCCCGGCCCGGCGGTGTCGTCAGGAGGGGACGTAACCCTACAGTGTCAGACTCGGTATGGCTTTGACCAATTTGCTCTGTACAAGGAAGGGGACCCTGCGCCCTACAAGAATCCCGAGAGATGGTACAGGGCTAGTTTTCCCATCATCACGGTGACCGCCGCCCACAGCGGAACCTACCGATGCTACAGCTTCTCCAGCAGGGACCCATACCTGTGGTCAGCCCCCAGCGACCCCCTGGAGCTTGTGGTCACAGGTAGGGGTAGTGCAGACCAAACCTTTCTTCCTCAGCCTTTATAGGTCCTGATGGCCATTCCAAGGGAGGGGCCATAAGTGGGAAGGAAGTGGGAGGGCAGGAAGCCCTGGGCTGCAGGGGCGGGGCCGTAGGTGGGAAGGAAGTGGGAGGGCAGGAAGCCCTGGGCTGCAGGGGCGGGGCCGTAGGTGGGAAGGAAGTGGGAGGGCAGGAAGCCCTGGGCTGTAGGGGCGCGGCCATAGGTGGGAAAGAAGTGGGAGGGCAGGAAGCCCTGGGCTGCAGGGGCGGCGCCAGAGGTGGGAAGGAAGTGGGAGGGCAGGAAGCCCTGGGCTGCAGGGGCGGGGCCGTAGGTGGGAAGGAAGTGGGAGGGCAGGAAGCCCTGGGCTGCAGGGGCGGGGCCGTAGGTGGGAAGGAAGTGGGAGGGCAGGAAGCCCTGGGCTGCAGGGGCGGGGCCGTAGGTGGGAAGGAAGTGGGAGGGCAGGAAGCCCTGGGCTGCAGGGGCGGGGCCGTAGGTGGGAAGGAAGTGGGAGGGCAGGAAGCCCTGGGCTGCAGGGGCGGGGCCGTAGGTGGGAAGGAAGTGGGAGGGCAGGAAGCCCTGGGCTGCAGGGGCGGGGCCAGAGGTGGGAAGGAAGTGGGAGGGCAGGAAGCCCTGGGCTACAGGCAGCTGGGAGAATGGAGGTTTCTTTTTTTTTTTTTTGACGAAGTCTCACTCTGTCACCCAGGCTGGAGTGCAGTGGCGCGATCTCAGCTCACTGCAACCTCCGCCTTCCGGGTTCAAGCGATTCTGCTGCCTCAGCCTCTCGAGTAGCTGGAATTACAGGTGCCTGCCACCATGCCCGGCCAATTTTTGTATTTTTAGTAGAGACGGGGTTTCACTATGTTGGTCAGGCTGGTCTTGAACTGACCTCATGATCTGCCCGCCTCGGCCTCCCAAAGTGCTGGGATTACAGGCGTGAGCCACCGCGTCGGACTTGACTACCATTCTTAAAGGGGGTTTCTTTCAAAAAAGAGCAGCATACCTCATAATGTGGTTATATACATGCAATGGAATATTATGCAGCCTTAAAAAAGAAGGAAATTCTGACACATACTACAACATGGATATACCTTGAGGACATTATGCTAAGTCAGTCACAAAAGGACAACTACTGTATGATTCTAGTCAAAGGAGGTATCTAATGTCAACACTGTAGAAACACAAAGTACAATGGTGGTTGTTAAGGGCCAGAAAGAGGAGAGAGAAGGAATTAGTGTTTAATGGGCACAGAATTTCAGTTTTGCAAGAAAAATAAGTTCTAGAGGTCAACATATTGTACCACAATGTGAACATACCCAACGCCACTGATCAGTACATTTAACAATGTCATATTAAATCAAACAAAATACATCATTTAGTTTTTGGTAGAAAAATCTGTTTTGCCCCCAGGGTCACAGTGAGGGGTAGGACACAGGAATCCAGAAGAAATAGAACTGAGGTTGAAAAAGGTGGACGGGAGCTGCATGCATTTCCTTGTTAATAGCCCAGAATGTGCCAGGTGTGCTTTACAAATGCTGCTGCTTTTTTTTTTTTTTTTTTTTTTGGGGGGAGTCTCACTTTGTCACCCAGGCTGGAGTGCAGTGGAGTGATCTCAGTTCACTGCAACCTCCACCTCCTGGGTTTAAGCGATTCTCCTGCCTCAGCCTCCTGAGTAGATGGGATTACAGGCACCTGCCATCATGCCCAGCTAATTTTTGTATTTTTCGTAGAGACAGGGTTTCACCATGTTGGCCAGGCTGGTCTTGAACTCTTGACCTCAGGTGATCTGCCTGCCTCGGCCTCTCAAAGTGCTGGGATTACAGGTGTGAGCCACCACGCCTGGCTAAGCCTTTTTTTTTCAGATGGAGTCTTACTGCGTCACCCAGGCTGGAGTGCAGTGGTGCGATCTCAGATCACTGCAACCTCTGCCTCCTAGGTTCAAGTGATTCTCCTGCCTCAGCCTCCCGAGCAGCTGGGATTACAGGTGCACACCACCACGCCTGGCTAATTTTTGTATTTTTAGTGGAGACGGGGTTTCACCATACTGGCCAGGCTGGGCTTGAACTCCTGACCTCAAGTGATCTGCCCTCCTCAGCCTCCCAAAGTGCTGGGATTACAGGCATGAGGCACTGCACCCAGCTCAAATGCTTATTAACATCCACAACAGTCCAGTGATGTAAGCTACTTTAGGCTCATTTTTCCGGTGAGGAAACTCAGTCACGGAGATGTTTCGTTATTTGTTCAGGACCCACAGCGACAGAGCACAGATTTATCTCATTTTCTGATTTCCCAGGAACCTCTGTGACCCCCAGCCGGTTACCAACAGAACCACCTTCCCCGGTAGCAGGTAGGTTCTGCAGGGTCCATTCTGGTGCACAGCGTATGAGGTACACGGACCCCTTCTCTCTCTCCTCTCTGCCTAGACTTCTCGATTTAATTCAGTTGGTTCTTTCACAGATTTGCTTTGTTTTAAAAATCCTTTATTTCTGCCTGTAAACAGGGTGGGTGTCCTAAGTAGTTAGATGTTAAGATGCTGCCCCCAATCCTACTCTAGGTGGATGGTTTATCACATATAACATGCAGAAGAATAATCGGAGTGGCTTGCTATACTGTGGAGTCCAGCTGGTTGAATATGGGTGACAAAAACAAACAAACTAACCAACCAACCAACCAACCAACCAACCAACAAACCTGTAGAGTCCGGGACTCTGTTTCTGAGTCACTGAATGCATTGATCAGCGGTTCTCAAACTTCCATGAGCATAAGAATCACCTGGAGGCTTAAAGAATAGATTTCTGAGCCCCCAGGGCTTCTGCTTCAGTAGGTCTGGGGTGAATCCAGTCATTTTCATTCCTAGTAAGTTCCCAGGTGATGCTGATGCTATGGCTCCAGAATGCTGCTTTGAGAACCACTGCGGTAAGTTTTGTGTGAGGCGTGTTATCCCCTCCACTTTCACAAACATCTCAGCTGAATACGGTGTACCAGACTACGGCCTGCACTTTAAGAATATCATACGCTAGGCTGGAGGCTGGGCGTGTCTAACATTCCCTGTGTCTCAGAGTGAAGCACCAAGGCAGGAGAAACATGCTGGAAAGAGCCGAGGTTGATAAGGATGAGATTTGCGGGGTTGAGGGCAGAGTGAGGGCTATTATGCCTAGTGGGCAGGGACATGGAAGATGGTCACATACTGTGTGCGTGCATATGTGTGTGTGCGTGCATGTGCGTGTGTGCGTGCATATGTGTGTGTGCGTGCATATGTGTGTGCATGCGTGCATATGTGTGTGTGTGCATGCGTGCATATGTGTGCGTGTGCTTCTGACTGAATTTTTGAACTTTCTCTTTTGAAATGGTTCTAGAGTCACAGGAAGTCTACAATGATAGAACAGAAGAATCCCATGTGCTCTTTTTCCAGTTTCCTCTAATGGTTACATCTTACGTAATTAGAGTACAACATAAAAACCAGGAATTTGACATTGGCATAAAGTAGGTGTCTAGTTCTATGCCAATTTGTCACAGTTGTAGATTCGCGTCACCATCACCGCAGTCACTGTACAGAACTCTTCCGTCTCACAAGGGCCTCCCTTGGGCTACCCTTTTATATTCACACCTACACCCTTCTCCTTCCCTTGCCATCCCTAACTCCTGGTATCCATTAATTTGTTCTCCATCTCTATAATCTTCCATTTCTAGAATCTGATGTAAATGGGATCATCCAGTATGCAACCGTTTGAGATATCCTTTTGTCACTCAGTGCAATGCCCCTGAGGCCCATCCAAGCTGCTGTATGTATCAATGATGTGTTCCTTTTGATTGCTGAGCAATATTTCATGCTATATTAGGCCGATTTTGTGCTGCTATAAATATCTGAGACTGGATCATTGATAAGAAAAGAGGTTTAATTGGTTCATGGTTCTGAAGGCCGTATAGGAAGCAGAAGGCTGGCTTCTGCTTTTGGGGAGGCCTCAGGAAGCTTACAGTCATGGCAGAAGGCAAAGAGGGGGTAGCTGTCTCATGTGGTGGGAGCAGGAGCAAGAGAGAGAGAGAGTTGGGACTGGGGGACATGCCACACTTTGCAATAGCCAGATCTTGTGAGAATTCACTTACTATTGCAAGGAAAGCACCAAGCAATGAGGGATCCACCCCTATGATCCAAACACCTCCCACCAGGCCCCCACCTCCAACATTGGGGATCATAATCCAGTATGAGATTTGGTGGGAACACATATTCAAACTGTATCACATGGCATGCAAATACCACACGCTGTGTTGAAATCAAAATCAAAACAAGGTGTATTAAATAGGGAATCCTTTCCCCATTGCTTGTTTTTGTCAGGTTTGTTGAAGATCAGATGGTTGTAGATGTGTGGTCTTATTTCTGAGATCTCTATTCTGTTCCATTGGTCTATGTGTCTGTTTTTGTACCAGTACCATGCTGTTTTGGTTACTATCACCTTGTAATATAGTCTGAAGTCTGAGCCTGAGGCCTCCAGCTTTGTTCTTTTTGCTTAGTATTGTCTTGGCTATATGGGCCCTTTTTTGGTTCCATATGAATTTTATAGTTTTTTCTAATTGTGTGAGGAATGTCAATGATAGTTCAATGGGAATAGCAATGAATCTATAAATTACTTTGGGCAGTATGGCCATTTTCACGATATTGATTCATCCTATCCATGAGCATGGAATGTTTTTCCATTTGTTTGTGTCCGCTCTGATTTTCTTGAGCAGTGAATTGTAGTTCTCCTTGAAGATGTCCTTCACTTTCCTTGTTAGCTGTATTCCTAGGTATTTTATTCTCTTTGTAGCAATTGTGAATGGGAGTTCCTTCATGATTTGGCTCTCTGCCTGTCTATTGTTGGTGTATAGGAATGCTTGTGATTTTTGCACATTGATTTTGTATCCTGAGACTTTGCTGAAGTTGCTTATCAGCTTAAGAAACTTTTGGGCTGAGATGATGGGGTTTTCTAGATATAGGATCATGTCATCTGCAAACAGAGATAGTTTGATTTCCTCTCTTCCTATTTGAGTATCCTTTATTTCTTTCTCTTGCCTGATTATCCTGGCCAGAACTTCCAATACTATGTTGAATAGGAGTGGTGAAAGAGGGCATCCTTGTCTTGTGCTGGTTTTCAAGGGAAATGCCCATTTAGTATGAAATTGGCTGTGGGTTAATAAATGGTGCTGGGAGAATTGGCTAGCCATATGCAGAAAATAGAAACTGGACCCGTTCCTTACACCTTGTACAAAAATTAACTCAAGATGGATGAAAGACTTGGATGCAAAACCCGAAAACTATAAAAACCCTAGAAGAAAATCTAGGTAATACCATTCAGGACACAGGCATGGGCAAAGATTTCATGACAAAAACGTCAAAAGCAATTGTAACAAAAGCAAAAACTGACAAATGGGATCTAACTAAACTAAAGAGCTTCTGCTCAGCAAAAGAAAGTATCATCAGAGTGAACAGACAACCTACAGAATGGGAGAAAATGTTTGCAATCTATCAATTCACAAAAGTCTAATATCCAGAATCTACAAGGAAGTTAAACAAATTTACAAGAAAAAAAAAACCATTAAAAAGTGGGTAAAGGACATGAACAGTCACTTCTCAAAAGAAGACGTTTATGCAGCCAGTAAACATACAAAAAAAAGCTCAACATCACCAATCATTAGAGAAATGCAAATCAAAACCACATTTAGACACCATCTCACACCAGTCAAAATGGCGATTATTAAAAAGTCAAGAAACGCCGGGCACGGTGGCTCACGCCGGTAATCCCAGCACTTTGGGAGGCCGAGGCAGGCAGATCACAAGGTCAGGAGATCGAGACCATCCTGGCTAACACGGTGAAACCCCGTCTCTATTAAAAATACAAAAAATTAGCCGGGCGTGGTGGCGGGCGCCTGTAGTCCCAGCTATTCGGGAGGCTGAGGCAGGAGAATGGCGTGAACCCGGGAGGCGGAGGTTGCAGTGAGCCAAGATTGTGCCACTGCACTCCAGCCTGGGCGACAGAGCAAGACTCCATCTCAAAAAAAAAAAAAAAAAACCAACAAAAGTCAAGAAACAACAGGTGCTGGCGAGGCTGTGGAGAAATAGGAATGCTTTTACACTGTTGGGAATGTAAATTAGTTCATTGTGGAAGACAGTGTGGTGATTCCTCAAAGACCCAGAACCAGAAATCCTTTTTCCTTTTTTTTTTTTTTGAGATGTAGTATTGCTCAATAGCCCATGCTGGAGTGCAGTGGTGCGATCTCGGCTCACTGCAACCTCCACCTCCCAGGTTCAAGCAATTATCCTGTCTCAGCCTCCTAAGTAACTGGGACTACAGGCGCCTGCCACCATGCCTGGCTTTTTTTTTTTTTTTTCTTTTAGTAGAGATGGGGTTTTACCTTGTTGGTCATGCTGGTCTCAAACTTCTGACCTCAGGTGATCCACCTGCCTCGGCCTCCCAAAGTGCTGGGATTACAGGCGTGAGCCACCGCACCAGGGCCACCTTTTTTTTTTTTTTTTTTTTTTAAACAGAGTCTCACTCTGTCACCCAGGCTGGATTGCAGGGGCATGATCTCGGCTCACTGCAGCCTCTGCCTCCAGGGTTCAAGTGATTCTCCTGCCTCAGCCTCCCGAGTAGCTGGGACTGCAGGTGCATGCCACAACGCCTGGCTAATTTTTGGATTTTTGCTAGAGACGGGAGTTTCACCATGTTGGCCAGGGTGGTCTTGAGCTCCTGACCTCAGGTGATCTGCCCACCTCGGCCTCCCAAAGTGCTGGGATTACATGTGTGAGCCACTGCGCCTGGCCAGAAATACCATTTGACCCAGCAATCCCATTACTGGTTATATACCCAAAGGAATATAAATCATTGTATTATAAAGATACATGCACACATATGTTCATTGCAGCACTATTCACAATAGCAAAGACAAGGAATCAACCCAAATGCCCATCAATGATAGAAAGGATAAAGCAAATACAGTACATATACACCATGGAATACTATGCAGCCATAAAAAGGAATGAGATCATGTCCTTTGCAGGGACATGGATGGAGCTGGAAAACATTATCCTCAGCAAACTAACACAGGAACTGAAAACCAAACACTGCATGTTCTCACTTGTAAGTGGCAGCTGAACAATGAGATCACATGGACACAGGGAGGGGAACACCACACACTGGGGCCTGTAGGGGGAATTGGGGGAGGGAGAGGATCAGGATAAATAGCTGATGCGTGTGGGGCTTAATACCTAGGTGATGGGTTGATGGGTGCAGCAAACCACCATGGCACACGTTTACCTATGTAACAAACCTGCACGTCCTGCACATGGATTCTGGAACTGAAATTTTAATTGAAAAAAAAAAAAAAGGTTTATTAATGCATCTCACACGAAGAGAAATAACAAAGACCAAATAATACCCACACTCTCATTATGCCACCGAGAGCTGAGCATAAACTAGTTTTTTCCAAGCTGGTTCCACCATAAAAAGACTCCCAGGATAGTACCCACTGCAACAAGAGCTTCGTATTTATCAGCTGAGGCAGTTCAGGAATATTTTGGTGGCCTCAGGAGGCCCCTGGTTAAGAAAATGGCCTGGCCGGGCGCGGTGGCTCACGCCTGTATTCCCAGCACTTTGGGAGGCTGAGGCGGGTGGATCACAAGGTCAGGAGATCGAGACCATCCTGGCTAACACGGTGAAACCCCATCTCTACTGAAAATACAAAAAAATTAGCCAGGCGTGGTGGCGGGTGCCTGTAGTCCCAGCTACTCGGGAGGCTGAGGCAGGATAATGGTGTGAACCCGGGAGGCAGAGCTTGCAGTGAGCCGAGATTGCACCACTGCACTCCAGCCTGGACGACAGAGTAAGACTCTGTCTCAAAAAAAAAAAAAAAAAGAAAAAAAGAAAATGGCCTAAGTTGGAAGGTGGAGATCCCGTGTTCTGAGGCTAACACGAGCTCATTCTTCCTCTAGGCTCACGAAGACATGGATCCACATCTTATTATTCAAACTGAGATATAATTCACATACCATAAAATTCACCATGCCAACTAGGATGACTATGATTTTTAAAACAAAACAAACGGACAAGAAGTATTGGTGAGGATTTGGAAGAACCTTCTTATATTGCTGGTGGGAATATAAAATGGTGCAGCTGCTTTGAAAAACAGTCTGTGGCCAGGCGCAGCCTGTAATCCCAGCACTTTGAGAGGCCAAGGAGGGTGGATCACGAGGTCAGGAGATCGAGACCATCCTGGCCAACATGGTGAAACCCCGCCTCTACTAAAGTACAAAAAAAAAAGTTGGCCAGGCGTGATGGCAGGTGCCTGTAATCCCAGCTACTCGGGAGGCTGAGGGAGGAGAATCGCTTGAACCCAGGAGGTGGAGGTTGCAGTGAGCTGAGATCGCGCCACTGCACTCCAGCCTGGGCAACAGAATGAGACTCTGTCTCAAAAAAAAAAAAAAAAGAAAAAAAAGAAAGAAGTCTGGTAGTTCTTCAAAAAGTAAAACACAGAGTTACTGTATGACCCAGTGATTCCACCACCCCTGGGTGTGTACCCAAGAGAACAGAAAACTTATGTTCACACAAAAACCTGTACGTCAATGTTCACAGCAGCAATATTCATAACAGCAAAACGTGGAAAAAAAACCAAGTGTCTATCAATTGCTGAACGGATCTGCTTCTTACTAAGCCGGTCATGGAAGATAAGTCTTACACCTTTCGAATTTGTCTGTCTTCAGTGTCTGTGCAGTGTGTCAGAGAAAGGGGTTTCAGGGAGCCTAGATATCTCAAAAGGGGAATGGAGATATCTAGAGGATATAGGGAACCACGGGGAAGACCTAACATTGTTTTGCTTTCTTAGAATTCTCAGAAGCCACCGCTGAACTGACCGTCTCATTCACAAACGAAGTCTTCACAACTGGTGAGTAACCAGGCATTTCATGCTCAGCAGAAAGGAGTGTGAGGACGGAGCTCTCTCTTCCATTATCTAAGCCTGTAGGCTTTTAATCACTTCACCGAACTGTCCGTCTCTTACCAAGAAAGTCCTTGGTGTGAGGCTAGAGCATGGGTGCAGAGTGGAGCTCTGGGGTTCAGAAGGAGGAGCGTTTTGGGTGATGGGGCCATTTCAAAGATGGCGGAGCCAAGGCTGTGGCGGGACGACCGCCATCCCTACGCACTGCTCCCAGGATGAAGTCCTAGGCTTTGGACTCGGCTGTGATCCAGGTATTTAATCTCGCTCCTCACTGTGTCCAGGTAGAGCCCATGCTCGGACGCACACAGACTGTAGGCACCTGGACACAGCACATCTTCTAACCGCTCCAGGCCTCTGCAGATACGCTTTCCTCAGTCTCTTTCCCCTTGCCTGTCCTGGAAAATCTCCATTTCCTTCCAGACTAAACACCTTCACAGATTCCCTGATAATAGGTTAGATACTTCCACTGGGCCCACATGACTCTGGCTTTCATGAGGCACCTGATCCCACGTAGTTCTATTTTTTATTTTTTTGAGGTGGAGTCTTGCTCTGTCGCCCAGGCTGGAGTGCAGTGGTGCGATCTCGGCTCACTGTAACCTCTGCTGCCCGGGTTCAAGCGATTCTCCTGCCTCAGCCTCCCGAGTAGCTGGGATTATAGGTGCATGCCACCACACCTGGCTAATTTTTGTATTTTAGTAGAGACGGGGTTTCAGCATCTTGGGAAGGCTGGTCTTGAACTCCTGACCTCATGATCCACCTGTCTCGGCCTCCCAAAGTGCTGGGATTGGAGGCATGAGCCACCGCGCCCGGCATATCCCAGGGAGTTCTGTGATGGAAGCCTTCCCTATCTTCAGTTCGGAACCTCCCAATCACCCTCAGGATGCAGTTCCAATTCCTCAGCTTGCTATTCTGTGAGCTTAGATATCCAGCCCCTGTTGATCCCTCCAATTTTGTCTGCATACCTTCCACGCATTCCCATGCTGTTCTCAGCCACACACAGTCACTTGAAGCTCTCCTGGAGGCTTCCTAACCTCTCCTGACTCTGCACCCAACCCACTCACTCTGCCTTTTCTTCCATTTCCCCATGGCATCAATTCCTCAAGAAAGCCTTGACCGTCCAGGCTGGATCGATGGTTTCCTCTGCTCTCGCTCAGTGTCTTGTGGGCTGCCTATTACAGCAATTTTTACAGTATATTAAAATTATCGCTTTGTCTGTAATCCCAGCACTTTGGGAGGCCAAGGTGAGTGGATCACCTGAGGTCAGGAGACCAGCCTGGCCAACATGCTGAAACCCCGTCTCTACTGAAAATACAAAAATTAGCCGGGCGTGGTGGTGGGCACCTGTAATTCCAGCTACTTGGGAGGCTGAGGCAGGAGAATCGCTTGAACTCACGAGTTGGAGGTTGCAGTGACCTGAGATCACACCACAGCACTCCAGCCTGGGCAACAGAGTGAGACTCCGTATTAAAAAAAAAAAAAAATCGCTTTACTTTTTGGTCTCCTGCAATAGTCTGGGAACCGCAGATGGACAATGTCTTATGGTTTTTTTGTTTTTTGTTGTTGTTTTTGAGACGGAGTCTCACTCTGCTCACTCTGTGATCTGTGATTTCGGCTCACTCTGCGATCTCAGCTCACTGCAATCTCCGGCTCCTGAGTAGCTGGGACTACAGGTGTGTGCCACCATGCCCAGCTATTTTTTGTATTTTTAGTAAAGACGGGGTTTCACCATGTTGGCCAGGATGGTCTCGATCTCTTGACCTCAGGTGATCCGCCCACCTTGGCCTCCCAAAGTGCTGGGATTACAGGCATTCAGCCAGTGTCATGCCTGGCCTGACAATGTCTTATTAATATTTGGGTTCCCATGGCCCAGCACATGGCTGAGTACCTGGCGAGTCTCAGGAGATACTTGAGGAATAAGAGAGCTGGAGGCCGGGTGCAGTGGCTCACGCCTGTAATCCCAGCACTTTGGGAGGCCTAGGCGGGCGGATCACAAGGTCAGGAGTTCAAAACCAACCTGGCCAATATGGTGAAATCCCATCTCTACTAAAAATACAAAACTTAGCTGGGCGTGGTGGCGGACGCCTGTAGTCCCAGCTACTCGGGAGGCTGAGGCAGGAGAATCGCTTGAGCCCAGGAGGCGGAGGTTGAAGTGAGCCGACATCGGGCCACTGCACTCCAGCCTGGGAGACAGAGCCAGACTCTGTCTCAAAAAAAAAAAAAAAAAAGCTGGCACGTATGAGGTGCTCATATGTCAAGCACGGTGCTTTATATTTCTACCATTATTATTATCTTGACTTTCACATCAACCTATAAGGGATCTTGTTAATTTTATTGGACACATGGGGAACTGGCTCACAGATGCTGAGTCACTTGCCAGATAACTGACATCTAATAGGTGATAGAGTTGGGGTTCAAATCTGGAGGACAGCCTGACTCTACAGTTCTTGCTTTTTTTTTTTTGGACAGGGTCTCGCTCTGTTTCCCAGGCTAGAGTGCAGTGGTACAATCCTGGCTCACTGCAGCCTCAACCTCCCAGGGCTCAGGTGATCTTCCTGCCTCAGCCTCCACTGAGTAGCTGGGATTACTGGCACGTGCCACCACGCCTGGCTAATTTTTGTATTTTTTTGTAGAGATAGGGTTTTTCTATGTTGCTCAGGTTGGTCTTGAACTCCTGGACTCAAGCCAGCCTCCTACCTCAGCCTCCCAAAGTGCTGGGATTATAGGCATGAGGCACCGTGCCCGGCCCATGCTTTTCTTAAATGCTGTGGAATTGTGCCTCCCCATGTGTGTGTGTGTTCGGAGTAGGCACAGTGACAGGGGGCGGGAATATGGTTTCATTTCACACTTAGCCTTTGTTTGGTTCCCAGAGACTTCTAGGAGTATCACCGCCAGTCCAAAGGAGTCAGACTCTCCAGCTGGTGAGTAAGTCATCCTCTCCAGACCCCCTTCCTTCTCACCCGTCTCTTCACCAAAGCCAACTCCTTTGTCTACGCAGGGGCTGCAGCTCTCAGATCTTGGGTTCCAGTGTGTAGAGTAAAGGCAGAATATCAGCGTATGGGGTTCAGAATTGGGCATTAAGATCAGGTGGGAAGGTTGAGATTTTAAAAAGGGTCAGAGAAAGAGAGATTCCATCTCTTCCCCACCCCTTATAACTGTCCTCTCTTTTGCAATGCATCAGATAACGAGGCAGCATCTGTGTCTGGGGAGGAGTTGTCTCAGAGCCCTGTGAGAGCACAGGAGGGAGAGGTGCTACTTAGAGAATTGGGGTCATCTGGCCCTGACCCCTACTCGGGAAGGGAGGGACCCTCCAGGAAAGTGAGCGGCATCCCCTAGCTAGTAGAGAATAATAGGATCTCTGAGAAGCCCAGATGTGGCTTGGAGGGGGTCCTGGAGGTGGGCTCTTTCACCTGCTCCTGCCTCTCCTCATTCCTCCAGGTCCTGCCCGCCAGTACTACACCAAGGGCAACCTGGTCCGGATATGCCTCGGGGCTGTGATCCTAATAATCCTGGCGGGGTTTCTGGCAGAGGACTGGCACAGCCGGAGGAAGCGCCTGCGGCACAGGGGCAGGGCTGTGCAGAGGCCGCTTCCGCCCCTCCCGCCCCTCCCGCTGACCCGGAAATCAAACGGGGGTCAGGATGGAGGCCGACAGGATGTTCACAGCCGCGGGTTATGTTCATGACCGCTGAACCCCAGGCACGGTCGTATCCAAGGGAGGGATCATGGCATGGGAGGCGACTCAAAGACTGGCGTGTGTGGAGCGTGGAAGCAGGAGGGCAGAGGCTACAGCTGTGGAAACGAGGCCATGCTGCCTCCTCCTGGTGTTCCATCAGGGAGCCGTTCGGCCAGTGTCTGTCTGTCTGTCTGCCTCTCTGTCTGAGGGCACCCTCCATTTGGGATGGAAGGAATCTGTGGAGACCCCATCCTCCTCCCTGCACACTGTGGATGACATGGTACCCTGGCTGGACCACATACTGGCCTCTTTCTTCAACCTCTCTAATATGGGCTCCAGACGGATCTCTAAGGTTCCCAGCTCTCAGGGTTGACTCTGTTCCATCCTCTGTGCAAAATCCTCCCGTGCTTCCCTTTGGCCCTCTGTGCTCTTGTCTGGTTTTCCCCAGAAACTCTCACCCTCACTCCATCTCCCACTGCGGTCTAACAAATCTCCTTTCGTCTCTCAGAACGGGTCTTGCAGGCAGTTTGGGTATGTCATTCATTTTCCTTAGTGTAAAACTAGCACGTTGCCCGCTTCCCTTCACATTAGAAAACAAGATCAGCCTGTGCAACATGGTGAAACCTCATCTCTACCAACAAAACAAAAAAACACAAAAATTAGCCAGGTGTGGTGGTGCATCCCTATACTCCCAGCAACTCAGGGGGCTGAGGTGGGAGAATGGCTTGAGCCTGGGAGGCAGAGGTTGCAGTGAGCTGAGATCACACCACTGCACTCTAGCTCGGGTGACGAAGCCTGACTTTGTCTCAAAAAATACAGGGATGAATATGTCAATTACCCTGATTTGATCATAGCACGTTGTATACATGTACTGCAATATTGCTGTCCACCCCATAAATATGTACAATTCTGTATACATTTTTAAAATCATAAAAATAAGATAATGCACCGTCTCCACCCCTCTCATATTTACTTTCTGAAGGAAATGTTAGGTCTTCTCAAGGTAAAGTTCTATATTTATTATAGCGTTTAGGCATTTCTTGACCATCTAATGAGTGTAAAACTGTACCACTGGGCCAAGTGCAGTGGATCATGTCTGTAATCCTAGCACTGTGGGAGGCCAAGGCAGGAGGATCGCTTGAGCCCAGGAGTTCAAGACCAGCCTGGGCAACATAGTGAGACCCCATCTCTACTTAAAATAAAGAAGATAAAAATTGTTTTAAAAAAGGAAAAGAATGGCTGGCCACAGTGGCTCACGCCTGTAATCCCGGCACTTTGGGAGGTTGAGGTAGGTGAGTCACTTGGGAAAAGACAGAAGGATGGCACCAAGAAGTTCCAGGACGACGGCTGTGAATCAGGGCTAGTGAGCACACAGCTTGGGTGAAGGGGGAATGGGAAAGTTGCTTAGAGAAGCCTCCAAATGTAAGAATGGGTCAATTCCTCGTCTTAACATAGTGGAAAATCATACTGAGATGCTATCAGAAGACAGAGGAAAAATAATTTTAGAGGTCAAGTAAACTAAGTAGATTTTAAAAAGACCAGTATAGCCTAGGCACAGTGGCTCACACCTGTAATCCCAGCACTTTGGGAGGCTGAGGCGGGATCGCTTGAGCCTAAGAGTTCGAGACCAGCCTGGGCAACATGGTGAAACCTTGTCTCATATACAAAAAATATAAAAAATTAGCTGGGTGTGGTACCACATGCCTACTCTCAGGTACTCAGGAGGCTGAGGTTGGGGATCACCTGAGCCCGGGGAGGTTGAGGCTGCAGTGAGCCATGATTGCACCACTGCTGTCAAACCTGGGTGACAGAGTGAGACCCTGCCTCAAAAGAAAATAAAAATAAAAAACAAATATAAACTTTAGGGGAACAATAACAACAACAAAAATAAAAGAAGCAAGTTATATTACCCGAAAATTCTCGGCTGCGAATATCTGTGGGTATAAACATGTGATACTGGCCGGGCGTGGTGGCTCATGCCTGTAATCCCAGCACTTCGGGAGGCTGAGGTGGGCAGATCACGAGGTCAGGAGATCGAGACCAGCTCAGCCAACATGGTGAAACCCTGTCTCTACTAAAAATACAAAAATTAGCCAGTCGTGGTGGCACACGCCTGTAGTCCCAGCTACTCAGGAGACTGAGGCTGCAGTGAGCTGAGATTGCGCCACTGCACTCCAGCCTGGGTGACAGAGTGAGACTCTGTCTCAAAAAAAAAAAATGTGATACTGAATGTTGATATGCAGACATAGAGATAAACATTGGAAGAGAAAAAACAGTAAGAACAACGCTGTAGAATAACTAAGGCCCCGCCTATTATGATAGGAATCCAGTAAGTCTAAGCTCATTCACATGGTTACATGTTTTTAGAAACCTAATATTAACAAGTTCCTAAAGAAAACAGCTAAAAGTGGGTGTCTCTTAGGCGGAGCAATGGAGGAGATGGTTAGTCAGCCACTGCATTTTGTACACACCCTTTTAGTGCTATTGGAATTTTTTAGGTAGGTGCTGTCAGGCCTCTGAGCCCAAGCTAAGCCATCATATCCCCTGTGACCTGCACGTACACATCCATATGGCTGGTTCCTGCCTTAACTGATGACATTCCACCACAAAAGAAGTGAAAATGGCCTGTTACTGCCTTAACTGATGACATTGTCTTGTGAAATTCCTTCTCCTGGCTCATCCTGGCTCAAAAGCTCCCCTACAGAGCACCTTGTGACCCCCACTCTGCCCGCCAGAGAACAACCCCGCTTTGACTGTAATTTTCCTTTACCTACCCAAATCCTATAAAACGGCCCCACCCCATCCCCCTTCGCTGACTCTCTTGTCGGACTCAGCCCACCTGCACCCAGGTGATTAAAAGCTTTATTGCTCACACAAAGCCTGTTTGGTGGTCTCTTCACATGGACGCACATGAAATTTGGTGCCGTGACTTGGATCGGGGGACCTCCCTTGGGAGATCAATCCCCTGTCTTGCTCTTTGCTCTGTGAAAAAGATCCACCTACGACCTCAGGTCCTCAGACCCACCAGCCCAAGGAACATCTCACCAAGTTTAAATTGGGTAAGCGACCTCTTCTTACTCTCTTCTCCAACCTCTCTCACTGTCCCTCAACCACTTTCTCCTTTCCACTCTTCAATCTCTCCCTTCTCTTAATTTCAATTCCTTTCATTTTCTGGTAGAGACAAAGGAGACACGTTTTATCTGTGGACCCAAAACTCCGGCGCCGGTCACGGACTAGGGAAGGCAGCCTTCCCTTGGCGTTTAATCATTGCAGGGACGCCTCTCTGATTATATACCCACGCTTCAGAGGTGTCAGATCACGCAGGGATGCCTGCCTTGGTCCTTCACCCTTAGTGGCAAGTCCCACTTTTCTGGGGAAGGGGCAAGTTCCCCAACCCCTCCTCTCCATGTCTCTACCCCTTCTCCACCTTTCTGGGGGGCAAGAAACCCCCAACCCCTTCTCCTTCACTCTTAGCGGCAAGTCCCGCTTTTCTAGAGGGGCAAGTACCCCAACCTCGTATCTCTGCACCCTGATCCCTTATTTCCATGCCCCAACCTCTTATCTCTGTGCCCCAACCCCTTATATCCATGCCCCAACCCCTTTCCCGCTTTTCTGGAAGGTAAGAACTCCCGAACCCCTTCCCTCCGTGTCTCTACTCTCTCTTTTCTCTAGGCTTGCCTCCTTCACTATGGGCAACCTTCCACCCTCCATTCCTCCTCCTTCTCTCCCTTGGCCTGTGTTCTCAAAAACTTAAAACCTCTTCAACTCACACCTGACCTAAAACCTAAATGCCTTATTTTCTTCTGCAATGCCGCTTGACCCCAATACAAACTGGACAGCAGTTCCAAATAGCCAGAAAACAGCACTTTCAATTTTTCCATCCTGCAAGATCTAAATAATTCTTGTCGTAAAATGGGCAAACGGTCTGAGGTGCCTGACGTCCAGGCATTCTTTTACACATCAGTCCCTTCCTAGTCTCTGTGCCCAGTGCAACTCGTCCCAAATCTTCCTTCTTTCCCTCCTGCCTGTCCCCTCAGTCTCAACCCCAAGCGTCGCTGAGTCTTTCTAATCTTCCTTTTCTACAGACCCGTCTGACCTCTCCCTCCTCCCCAGGCTGAGCTAGGTCCCAATTCTTCCTCAGCCTCCGCTCCTCCACCGTATTATCTTTTTATCACCTCCCCTCCCCACACCTGGTCCAGCTTACAGTTTCGTTCAGTGACTAGCCCTCTTCCACCTGCCCAGCAATTTACTCTTAGAAAGGTGGCTGGAGCTAAAGGCATAGTCAAGGTTAATGCTCCTTTTTCTTTATCCCAAATCAGATAGTGTTTAGGCTCTTTTTCATCAAATATAAAAATCCAGCCCAATTCATGGCTCGTTCGCCAGCAACCCTGAGAAGCTTTACAGCCCTAGACCCTTAAAAGTCAAAAGGCCGTCTTATTCTTAATACACATTTTATTACCCAATCTGCTCCCGACATTAAATAAAACTCCAAAAATTAAATTCCGGCCCTCAAACCCCACAACAGGATTTAATTAACCTCGCCTTCAAGGTGTACAATAATAGAAAAAAGTTGCAATTCCTTGCCTCCACTGTGAGACAAACCCCAGCCACATCTCCAGCACACAAGAAGGGAACTGAACCGCAGCGGCCAGGCGTTCCTCCAGAACCTCCTCCCCCAGGAGCTTGCTACAAGTGCCAGAAATCTGACCACCAGGCCAAGGAATGCCTGCAGCCCAGGATTCCTCCTAAGCCGTGTCCCATCTGTGCGGGACCCCACTGGAAATCGGACTGTTCAACTCACCTGGCAGCCACTCCCAGAGCCCCTGGAACTCTGGCCCAAGGCTCTCTGACTCCTTCTCGGCTTAGCGGCTGAAGACTGATGCTGCCCAATCGCCTCGGAAGCTCTGTAGACCATCACGGATGCCGAGCTTCGGGTAACACTCACGGTGGAAGGTAAGTCCGTCGCCTTAGTCAATACGGAGGCTACCCACTCCACATTACCTTCTTTTCAAGGGCCTGTTTCTCTTGCCTCCATAACTGTTGTGGGTATTGACGGCCAGGCTTCTAAACCCCTGAAAACTCCCCCACTCTGGTGCCAACTTGGACAACACTCTTTTATGCACTCTTTTTTAGTTATCCCCACCTGCCCAGTTCCCTTATTAGGCCGAGATATTTTAACCAAATTATCTGCTTCCCTGACTATTCCTGGACTACAGCCGCATCTCATTGCCACCCTTCTCCTCAACCCAAAGCCTCCTTCGCGTCTTCCTCTCCTATTCCCCCACCTTAACCCACAAGTATGGGACATCTCTACTCCTTCCCTGGCAACTGATCACATACCCGTTACCATCCCATTAAAACCTAATCACCCTTACCCTGCTCAATGCCAATATCCCATCCCACAGCACACTTTAAAAGGATTAAAGCCTGTTATCACTCGCCTGCTATAGCATGGGCTTCTAAAACCTATAAACTCTCCTTACAATTCCCCCATTTTACCTGTCCAAAAACCGGAAAAGTCTTACAGATTAGTTCAGGATCTGCGCCTTATCAAATTGTTTTGCCTATGCACCCTGTGGTGCCCAACCCCTACACTCTTTTGTCCTCAATACCTTCCTCCACAACTCACTATTCCATGCTTGATCTTAAAGATGCTTTTTTCACTATTCCCCTGCACCCCTCGTCCCAGCCTCTCTTCGCTTTCACTTGGACTGACCCTGACACCCATTAGGCTCAGCAAATTACCTGGGCTGTACTGCTGCAAGGTTTCACAGACAGCCCCCATTACTTCAGTCAAGCCCAAAGTTCATCCTCATCTGTTACCTATCTCGGCATAATTCTCATAAAAACACACGTGCTCTCCCTGCTGATCGTGTCTGACTGATCTCTCAAGCCCCAGCACCTTCTACAAAACAACAACTCCTTTCCTTCCTAGGCATGGTTAGCGCGGTCAGAACTCTTACACAAGAGCCAGGACCACACCCTGTAGCCTTTCTGTCCAAACAACTTGACCTTACTGTTTTAGCCTAGCCCTCATATCTGCGTGCTGTGGCTGCCGCTGCTTTAATACTTTTAGAGGCCCTCAAAATCACAAACTATGCTCAACTCACTCTCTACAGCTCTCATAATTTCCAAAATCTATTTTCTTACTCACACCTGATGCATATACTTTCTGCTCCCTGGCTCCTTCAGCTGTACTCACTCTTTGTTAAGTCCCACAATTACCATTGTTCCTGGCCCGGACTTCAATCTGGCCTCCCACATTATTCCAGATACCACACCTGACCCCCATGACTGCATCTCTCTGATCCACCTGACGTTCACCCCATTTCCCCACATTTCCTTCTTCCCTGTTTCTCACCCTGATCACACTTAGTTTATTGATGGCGGTTCCACCAGGCCTAATCGCCACACACCAGCAAAGGCAGGCTATGCTATGGTACAAGCCACTAGCCAGCCTCTTAGAACCTCTCATTTCCTTTCCATTGTGGAAATCTATCCTCAAAGAAATCACTTCTCAGTGTTGCATCAGCTATTCTACTACTCCTCATGGATTATTCAGGCCCCCTCCCTTCCCTACACATCAAGCTCAAGGATTTGCCCCCGCCCAGGACTGGCAAATTAGCTTTACTCAACATGCCCCGAGTAAGATAACTAAAATACCTCTTAGTCTAGGTAGACACTTTCACTGGGTAAGTACAGTCCTTTCCTACAGGGTCTGAGAAGGCCACCGCAGTCATTTCTTCCCTTCTGTCAGACATAATTCTTCAGTTTAGCCTTGTCATTCCCTTCTGTCAGACAAAATTCCTCAGTTCAGCCTTCCCACCTCTATACAGTCTGCTAACAGACCAGCCTTTATTAGTCAAATCAGCCAAGCATTTTTTCAGGCTCTTAGTATTCAGTGACAGACTAATGGTCTATTAAAAACACACCTCACCAAGCTCAGCCACCAACTTAAAAAGGACTGGACAATACTTTTACCATTTTCGCTTCCAGAATTCAGGCCTGTCCTTGGAATGCTACAAGATACAGCCCATTTAAGCTCCTGTGTAGACACTCCTTTTTATTAGGCCCCAGTCTCATTCCAGACACCAGACCAACTTAGATTGTGCCCCAAAAAACTTGTCATCCCTACTATCTTCTGTCTAGTCATACTCCTATTCACCGTTCTCAACTACTCACACATGCCCTGCTCTTGTTTACACTGCCAGTTTACACTGTTTCTCCAAGCCAGCACAGCTGGTATCTCCTGGTACTATCCCCATACCGCCACTGTTAACTCTTAAAATAAATAAATAATCTTTGCTGGCAAGGCTATGCTGAACCTCCTTAGGCACTTTCTAATTAGATGTCCTGAGTCGTCCCAATTCTTAGACCTTTAATACCTGTTTTTCTCCTTTCCTTATTCCCTTTAGTTTTTCAATTCATACAAAACTGTATCCAGGCCATCACCAATAATTCTAAATGACAAATGTTTCTTTTAACAATCCCACAATGTCACCCCTTACCACAAAATCTTCCTTCAGCTTAATCGCTCCCACTTTAGGTTCCCACGCCGCCCCTAATCCTGCTCAAAGCAGCCTTGAGAAACATCACCCATTATCTCTCCATACCACCCCCAAAAATTTTTGCTGTCCCAACACTTTACCCCTATTTCATTTTATTTTTCTTATTAATATAAGAAGACAGGAATGTCAGGCCTCTGAGCCCAAGCTAAGCCATCATATCCCCTGTGACCTGCACGTACACATCCAGATGGCCGGTTCGTGCCTTAACTGATGACATTCCACCACAAAAGAAGCGAAAATGGCCTGTTCCTGCCTTAACTGATGACATTGTCTTGTGAAATTCCTTCTCCTGGCTCATCCTGGCTCAAAAGCTCCCCTACTGAGCACCTTATGACCCCGACTCTGCCCGCCAGAGAACAACCCCCCTTTGACTGTAATTTTCCTTTACCTACCCACATCCTATAAAACGGCCCCACCCCTATCCCCCTTCGCTGACTCTCTTGTCAGACTCAGCCCACCTGCACCCAGGTGATTAAAAGCTTTATTGCTCACACAAAGCCTGTTTGGTGGTCTCTTCACACGGACGTGCATGAAAGGTGCGTGTATATTTTTGTAACACAATAAATAATAACAGTATACACTTTTTCTTTTAGAAGTATGCTGTTAAACAGAATTAAGAACAGGAAGTCTCAAAATTGTTTCTTTCAGGAGAGAAGACTTATTAATGGGGGAGAGTTCTGAACCACTTGCTTTGCATACTGCCACTTAGTTAAAAAATCGCATTTTAACTTAAAAATATCCAAAAATAACACAGTTTTATAATAAATTATTACGAATATCACAAAATAATAAAAATACAAGTAATGCAGAGTGGAAATGCAAAGCTATGAGTGCTAGACGGCTAACAAGTCATAACAAACAACACCAAAATTAAAGAACAAGATAGTTGTGACTTACCTTGGTCAATCACTTTCCATAGTAGTCATTCAATCCAGGATCTCATCTCTGAAAATGAAGGAAAAAAGCAACAGAAAATAGTGTAGAGGTCTCTGGTGTTCCAAGAATAGGCGCTGCAGAGAGATGTGGGTGCCTGGGCTGTGCCCAGTCACTGAAATGGCACACCTGATGCTACCTGTTCACTTCGGGCTGAGCAGGAGAGAGAAAAGACGTTCCCCTCAGCCACTTCCCGTCTTCTGATTTCACTTCTTGCCTGCCTCCGACTGCAAATCCTGGTTTGACGTCACTTCCTGTCTTCTGATTTTACTTCCTGTATGACCTCACTTCCTGTCTTCTACAACCACTTCCTGTCTTCTTACTTCACTTCCTGTCTTCTGACTTTACTTCCTGTATGACTTCACTTCTTGTCTTCTACCACCACTTCCTGTCTTCCGAATTTACCTCCTATCTTGACTTCACTTCTTGTTTTTTTTTTTTTTTTTTGACAGGGTCTCGCTCTGTCTCCTAGGGTGGAGTGCAGTTGTGCCAGCTTGAAACCACCTTTCCAAAATTATGACTGAGACAGTGAAAGAGATTTAACTGACTCCATTTTGCTTCTAACCTCCAAGCTGTCCTTTTTCATTCCTGGGCATAGGCTGAACTTTGGGAGAAACTTATAGTTTAAACAAAGATGATAGCCCTTTTCCAAAGCACACCTCTTTGTTGCCTGGGGACTAGATTGGCCCTGTAGGACGAACATTAGCCACGAGATTAGAAATTATGACTTAGGAGTCATGCAGCTGGAGGCTACAAGATTGTGACCCTCCCTAAACTGCTTCTAAGATCAGCGTTTAACTTGCAGACCCTGTACTTGATGGATCAGCTGGCACCACCCATATCAATAAACTGGCCCATCTTATCTTTTGGCCTCCACTCAGGAACTGAGTGCAAGAAGATAGCTTTGGCTCCCACGATTTCATCCCTGACCAAACAGCACTCCTGGCTCACTGGCTTCCCACCCACCCACCAAGTTATCCTTAAAAACGCTTCCTGAATGCTGGGAGACACTGATTTGAATAATAATAAAACTCTGGTCTCTCGTAGAGCCAGCTCTGCATGAATTATTCTCTATTGCGATTCCCTGTCTTGACGAATCAGCTCTGTCTAGGCAGTGGGCAAGGTGAACACATTGGACTATTACAATCTTGGCTCACTGCAACCTCCACCGCCTGGGTTCAAGTGATTCTCCTGCCTCAGACTCCCAAGTAGCTGAGATCACAGACGTGCACTACCATGCTCAGCTACATTTTTTTTTCTGTCCCCCGGGCTGGAGTGCAATGGTGCGATCTCGGCTCATTGCAACCTCCGCCTTCCGGGTTTAAGCGATTCTCCTGCCTCAGCCTCCAGAGTAGCTGGGATTACAGGCATGCACCACCAAGCCTGGCTACTTTTGGTATTTTTAGTAGAGACAGGGTTTCACCATGTTGGCCAGGCTGGTCTCAAACTCCTGACCTCATGTGATCCACCTGCCTCTGCCTCCCAAAGTGCTGGGATTACAGGTGCGATCCACCATGCCCAGCCCATTCCGTCTTCTGACTTGACTTCCTGCCTGACTTCACTTCCTGAAGGATGTGGTTACCATGGAAGTTGTTTTGGGGCACAGGATGTGGTCTGGGATTGGGGATTGTGAAAAGCAAGACCCTCACCGGGGTCTTTCTTCCAGAGCTGCAGCTGAGCCACAGGATCTTGAACAGGAGAGAGTTCTTCCTATTCTTGTGGAAGAGCTGAGGATTGAGAAAAGCGCGGCTTAGCTCATGGGAGTGACCTTAGCTTTGAGAAGCCTGAAAATGAGGCTTGGAGGTAGAGAGTGGTGTGTGTGTGTGCGCGTTGGGGGAGGGGGTCAGGCTCTCATGACTTCTGGCTCTTTTTTTTGCTCCAGGAACATTTCCCAAGCCCACCATCTGGGCTAACCCAGCCCTCGTGGTTCCTGGGTGCAAACATGGCCGTGGAATTGTGGAATGGTTTTTTTTGTATCCTTAGCAGAGAACCCAGTGAATACTTTGTTCTTGATCATCAATGTGATGAGATCCAGAGCAAGCAAGTGCTAATGCTGCTGTGAGCCTGAGGCCACATTTTCAGAATTCAGTGATGGGCGGAGGCGAGTGGTCACAGGTATAGGGAGAGCAGTACTTGTTCATCTCTGAACGTATAGATTCAGACACACATGAACCCATGTGCCACAGGTTTCCCTGTTTAGGACTTGTAGGTCATGGGGGTGGGCATCTGAGAGTGTGGCTACATGAAATACACACGTTGGAGAAAGATGGTTAATTGTGAGTGCGAGTTTACATTTCATGGGCCCCTGGGGTGTCGATAGTTCCTCAATGGATGTAGATCCGTTACTCAATTTCTTCTCTAAAGATGGGGCTAGATTACAATGGTTCTCAACCTAAGAAAACTTTGCATTTCAGGAAATATTTTCTACTGCCCAGAGACATTTTTGATCACTGTTAACTGTGAGGATGTGAGCTGGTATCTAGGGGGTAGAGGCTAGGGATGGTGCCGAACACCCTGGAAATGTACAGGACGTTTCCCAACGAGTAGTGATCCGATCCCAAATGTCAATAGTGTGGAGAAGGAGAAACCTTTAGTTTCTTCACGCAATGTCCTTTTTAAACTTTGTGCCTCTCTTTTTACCAACCTTCCCCCTTCTTCCCGCTGAAACTGAGAATAAAGATGCTCTGGAGGCCGGGCACGGTAGCTTATGTCTGTAATCCCAGCACTTTGGGAGACCGAGGCAGGCAGATCGCTTGAGGTTAGGGGTTCGAGACCAGCCTGGCCAGCGCGGTGAAACCCTGTCTCTACTAAAAATGCAAAAATTATCCGGGAGCCTGAGGCAGAATTGCTTGAACTTGGGAGGCAGAGGCTGCAGTAAGCCGAGGTCACACCACTGCACTCCAAACCGGGCAATGGAGCGAGACTGTCAAAAAAAAAAAAAAATGCTCAGGGAATGACCCATGCCGCATTGAACAAGGACACCTTGAACCAGGAAACCTCAGAAGCCCACACTGTATGCAGTGGAACTGGAAAGTGATGGAGTGGTTTAAAGGTAGTATCAGAGAACTTGGATCTAGTCGGTGGGAATAAACCAATAGCCCCTGATGAAGAAATGAAAGTAGGAAGAGAGATTAACTTTTTTAGTTTTAAATTTAAATATTAAAACTACTTTTGACCAGGTGTGGTGGCTCATGCCTATAATCCCAGCATTTGGGGAGGCCAAGGTGGGCAGATCACCTGAGCTCAGGAGTTCAAGACCAGTCTGGACAACGTGGCAAAACCCTATCTCTACCAAAAATGCAAAAATTACCTGGGTGCAGTGGTGCACACCTGTGGTCCCAGCTACATGGGAGGCTGAGATGGGAGAACTGCTTAAACTGGGGAGGTGGAGGCTGCAGTGACCCGAGATCGTGCCATTGCATTCCAGCCTGGGTGAAAGAGCAAGATTCTGCCACCAAAAAAAAAAAAAAAAAAAAAAAAAAAAAAGAAAAAAATGTTGCCAGGTGCGGTGACTTATACCTGTAATCCCAGCACTTTGGGAGACCAAGGCTGGTGGATCACCTGAGGTCGGGAGTTCGAGACCAGCCTGACCAACATGGAAAAACCCCGTCTCTGCTAAAAATTCAAAATTAGCCAGGCTTGGTGGCACATGCCTATAATCCCAGCTACTCAGTAGGTCGAGGCAAGAGAATCGCTTGAACCCGGGGAGGCGGAGGTTGCAGTGAGCCAAAATCGTGCCATTGCACTCCAGCCTGGGCAACAAGAAGAAACTGTCTCAAAACAAACAAAAAAAAACATGATTAGTGTTTAATAAAAATTTGTACTGTTCTTTTTCCCCCTTACCGTCCATTTGTTTGCTCATCCAGTAAACACAGACAGCAACAAAGTCTCCCCATGAGAAGCAACTTTGCCAACTAGTGTTGTCTTTATAGTACAGTTCGTTTTGTTTGTGGTTTTACAGCGTAGAGCTTGCACTGCTGCTTTGTTGAATTTGGAATTCTGTATCACAAGGAAATAATGGAGACTCTATAGTGAAAAACTATGCATACCATGAGATTTTGTTTTTTTTTGGAGAAGGAGTCACTCTGTTGCCCAAGCTGGAATGCAGTAGTGCAGTCTTCAGCACAGTGCAACATCCACCTCCTGGGTTTAAGCAATTCTCCTGCCTCAGCCTCCCAAGTAGCTGGGATTACAGGCATGTGCCACCATGCCTGGCTAATTTTTTATATTTTTAGTAGAGACGGGGTTTCACCACGTTGGCCAGGTTGGTCTCCAACTCCTGACTTCGTGATCCACCCACCTCAGCCTCCCGAAGTGCTGGGATTACAGGTGTGAGCCACCGTGCCTGGCCGAGATTCTATTTTAAGTTAGAATTTTTAAAAAGCAAAATCAGAGCAATGACATGGTCATATATGAGCTACACCGAAGCACCTAAAATATTGTAGATTGGTAGGAGAAATCCTCTGGCAAGTAATACTCAGCAGGCAGTGATCCACGCAGGTCAACAAGTAACAAGACAGGCTAGGCACAGTGGTTCACACCTGTAATCCTAGCACTTTGGGAGGCTGAGGCAGGAATATTACTTGCGCCTGGGAGTTTGAGATCAGCCTGGGCAACATAGTGAGACCCTGTCTTCAAAAAAAATCCCACAAAAATTGGCCTGGTTTGGTGGTGTGCACCTGTAGTCCCAGCTACTGAGGAGGCTGAGGCTGGAGGATCGCTTGAACCTGGGAGCTTGAGGCTGCAGTGAGCTATCATCATGCTGCTGTATTCCAGCCTGGGCAACAGAGCAACACTCATGCTTGAGGAAAAAGAAAAAGAAAAAAAAAAAAGCCGGGTACAGTGGCTCATGCCTGTAATCCCAGCACTCTGGGAGGCTGAGGTGGGTGGATCACTTGAGGTCAGGAGTTTGAGACCAGACTGGCCAACATGGTGAAACCTCATCTCTATTAAAAATACAAAAAAATTTAGCCGGGTGTGGTGGGGGATGCTTGTAATCCCAGCTACTCAGGAGGCTGAGACAGGAGAATCGCTTGAACCTGCCAGGTTGTAGTAAGCTGAGATCGTGCCAGTGTACTCCAGCGTGGGCAACAGAGTGAAACTCAGTCTAAAAAAAAAAAAAAAAAAAAAGAAAAGAAAAAAGAAAGGAAATACCAAGGCAAGGCAAAGATTGACAAGGCAATAGAAATCAATGCAATTAAACACTGTCACTTCCCCCACCCCCCAGGTTCTACCCAGTAAGATATCTTTTCTCTAACTTGTCAAAGCCCATTATTAAGTAACAGCTTCATTTGTGAATGCTCTCACCTTTATTTCTCTCAATATACCCGTGATACAGATATTTCATATGTAACAAAGATAAGGATGTGTGCAGGTATAAAACAGAGGCAGAATCATGGCTAAAACATCTAGCCCAGCAATGAACTCATTATCCCTGAGGGGTAGGGGCCGGGGAGGAGAGGAGTCACAGGCAGTTCACCAACACCTGGAAAATCGATGACTTCATGGAGAATGAATGACTCGGGGGGATTCAGATCATGAAGTCATGAGAAGAAGGCCTTTCTGCCCAGGGATGATGTTTCTCAGTATCAATAATCAGTTGTGGGTTTTTTTCTTCTATTTCTTCCAGCAGCTTATTGAGTTCATCATTAAAGTCATCGATTTTCAACCTGGGGTACAATGGGGGAAGAAAAGGTTACTTTGTGCATCAAGGAGATTTGTTTCAAATTCCCAAGTACCTGAAAGTCTGTTAAGGAGGCACAGGGCATGGGTCACCTTTCCTGATTATTCTAGGTGGCAAAGGAGTGTTCCACATTGATTTTTTTTTTTTTTTTTTAAAAGACAGTCTCAGGTGGGGCGTGATGGCTCACGCCTGTAATTCCCAGCACTTTAGGAGGCTGAGGCGGGTGGATCACGAGGTCAGCAGATCAAGACCATCCTGGCTAACACGGTGAAACCCTGTCTCTACTAAAAAAATACAAAAAATTAGCCGGGCGTGGTGGCGGACGCCTGTAGTCCCAGCTACTCAGGAGGCTGAGGCAGGAGAATGGTGTGAACCCGGGAGGCGGAGCTTGCAGTGAGCCGAGATCGTGCCACTGTACTCCAGCCTGGGCGATCTCAAAAAAAAAAAAAAAAAAAAAAAAAAAAAAAAAAAAAAAGACAGTCTCTCTGTTGCCCAAGCTGGAGTGCAGTGGTACCATCTCAGCTCACTGCAACCTGTGCCTCTTGGGTTCAAGCCATCCTATCCTCTGCCTCCCGAGTAGCTGGGACTACAGGCACCTGCCACCATGCTCAGCTAATTTTTGTATTTTTAGTAGAGTTGGGGTTTTACCATGTTGCCTAAACTGTACCTGGCTTGATTTGCTTATTTTTTATTTTTAAATATAAAATGAGGCCAGATGTGGTGGGTCATGCCTGTAATGCCAGCACTTTGGGAGAGTGAGGTGGGCAGATCACTTGAGGTCAGGAGTTTGAGACCAGCCTAGGCAAGATGGTGAAAGTCCATCTCTACTAAAAATATAAAAGTTAGTTGGGTGTGATGGTGCATCCCTATAATCCCAGCTACTCAGGAAGCTGACACAGGAGAATCACTTGAACCTGGGAGGCGGAGGTTACAGTGAGCTGAGATCGGGCCCCTGCACTCCAGCCTGAGCAATAGAGTGAGATTTTTGTCTAAAAAATAAATGAAGTAAATAATAAAATGTAATATTAAAGACTTTCATTTCTCTTTTTAATCCTTTTTTTCATTCCTCTTATTCTCAACCATGTTGATCTGATAGAGAAAAACATAACATCAGGTTAACCTTGTAATGGTATATAGCCATTGTGCAGTTTGAGATGCTTGTTGATTATCATACACAGAAAATGGAATTGCTGAGTACAGCTGGGCTATAGCTCTAATACCTGCTTACCCGCTCTATCACCCACTTTGGCAACTTCTACTCAGTGGACCCCGGAGTACCAGTTAAACAGAGGAGATGCAGGCCAGGCATGGTGGCTCACGCCTGTAATCTTAGCACTTTGGGAGGCTGAGGCAGGCGGGTCACCTGAAGTCAGGAGTTCGAGACCAGCCTGACCAATATGGAGAAACCCTGTCTCTATTAAAAATACAAGATTAGCCAGGTGTGGTGGCACATGCCTGTAGTCCCAGCTACTTGGGAGGCTGAGGGAGGAGAACCTCTTGAACCCGGGAGGCGGAGGTTGCAGTAAGCCGAGATAGCGCCATTGCGCTCCAGGCTGGACAACAAGAGTAAAACTCTGGCCGGGCGGGGAGGTGGGGGGGTCAGCCCCCCGCCCAGCCAGCCGCCCTGTCCGGGAGGTGAGGGGCGCCTCTGCCCGGCCGCCCCTAATGGGAAGTGAGGAGCCCCTCTAACCGGCCAGCCGCCCTGTCCGGGAGGGAGGTGGGGGGGTCAGCCCCCCATTTTGTTCTGTACTAAGAAAAATTCTTCTGCCTTGGGATCCTGTTGATCTGTGACCTTACCCCCAACCCCGTGCTCTCTGAAACATGTGCTGTGTCCACTCAGAGTTAAACGGATTAAGGGCGGTGCAAGATATGCTTTGTTAAACAGATCCTGAAGGCAGCACGCTCGTTAAGAGTCATCACCACTCCCTAATCTCAAGTACCCAGGGACACAAACGCTGCGGAAGGCCGCAGGGTCCTCTGCCTAGGAAAACCAGAGACCTTTGTTCACTTGTTTATCTGCTGACCTTCCCTCCACTATTGTCCTATGACCCTGCCAAATCCCCCTCTGTGAGAAACACCCAAGAATGATCAATAAAAAAAAAAAAAAAAAAAAAGGAAAAAAAAAAAAAAAAAAGAAAAAAGATGCACCCCAAAAAAAAGAGTAAAACTGTCTCCAAAATAAATAATAAATAAACAAACAAACAAACTTAAAGCTTAAAAAAACCCTTAGTGTCCATATGTCTTTTGACTTACAAAGTATCTTAGGCTGAGTTTCATGTTAAATAAACAAGTAATCTATGTTTCTTCTACATAAAGATTATTTTAAGCCAGCAGTAGAGTATATTGCTTGTGAGAATTTCTGAAGTTCCCACATTCCTAGGAAGGGGCTTCTTGGTTCTTTGATGCCATGGTATCAAAATACAACTCAGGCCGGGTGCGGTGGCTCATGCCTGTAATCCCAGCACTTTGGGATGCTGAGGTGGGCAAATCACGGAGGTCAGGAGTTTGAGACCACCCTGGCCAACATGGCAAAACCCTGTCTCTACTAAAAATACAAAAATTACCTAGGTGTGGTGGTGCATGCCTGTAATCCCAGCTACTTGGGAGGCTGAAGCATGAGAATAGCTGGAACCTGGGAGGTGGAGGTTGCAGTTAGCAACCACTGCACCCCAGCCTGGGCAACAGAGTGAGACTCCATCTCAGAAAAAAAAAAAAAAAAAGAAAGAAAAAACAAAACAAAACCCCAAAACCCTGACAAAATGCAACAAACAAAACACAGCCCAGTGACAAATGGCTATCATGAGCAGGTAGACGGCAGCCGTGGCTGGGTGCAATGGTTCATGCTTATAAACCTACCTACTCAGGAACTGAGGCAGGATTGCTTGAGCCCAGGAGCTGGAGCGAGCCTGCAGCGAGCCATCATTGTGCTGCTGGACTCCAGCCTGGGGAACATAGTGAGTTCTTGCCTCAAAGGAAAAAAAAAAAAAAGGTGGCCGGGTGCGGTTGCTCACGCCTGTAATCCCAGCACTTTGGGAGGCCGAGGCGGGCGGATCACCTGAGGTCAGGAGTTTGAGACCAGCCTGACCAACATGGTGAAACCCCGTTTCTCCAAGTGAAATACAGAAATTGGCTGGGTGTGATGGCGGGAACCTGTAATCCAGCTACCAGATCAGTCTCCTACAGCAGGTCCATGTCATTATGCTTCCCCTAAACCTACCACTCTGGAGAAAGCCTGATGGGGAAGTAAATGGATCATACCTGAGTGTCCGGAGGGTGCCACTGGAACATGTCAAGGTTTCAAACAGCATCTTCACTCCACTAGACCCCAAGGGATTCTGACCCAGGTCCAGAGTGACGAGGCTCTGGTTGCAGCTGAGGGCAGAGCAGAGGTCTTCACAACTGAACGGAGGGATGGAACATCCCCACAACCTGGGGAAACACAGAAATCAACACGTTAATGCAGCCAGTGCTGATCGATGCCCTCCGGCAAGCCAAGCCCACCCTCGTGTGTTGGGGATCTGCATGACCAACAGAAGTCTCAGGCCGGGCACGGTGGTTCACGCCTGTAATCCCAGCACTTTGGGAGGCCGAGGTGGATGGATCACCTGAGGTCAAGGAGTTCAAGACCAACCTAACATGGTAAAACCGTGTCTCTACTAAATATACAGAAGTTAGCTGGGCGTGGTGACAGGCACCTGTAATCCCAGCTACTCAGGAGGCTGGGGCAGGAGAATCGCTTGAACCCAGGAGGCGGAGGTTGCAGTGAGCCGAGATCGCGCCATTGCACTCCAGCCTGGGTGACAGAGTGAGACTCCGGTCTCAAAAAACAAACAAAACGTCTCCGCCCTCAGGGCTCATCTGCTAACAGGAAAATATGGAGGCGATGAGGGGTTCTGAAGGGCAAGGGGTACAGGGAATAACTGGGGGTTCTGGCTACAATGGTTGGAGGTGAGGGGGTGAAGAGACCGAGTCATAGAGCTCGGGGGGGAGTTCTCCAGGCAGAGAAATAGCTTGTGCAGAGGCCCTGAAGATACATGTGACTGACACGTAAAATAGAACATCCAGGCAGCGGGCATGAGTGAGACAGGGAGGATTGTCAAGATGAGGTCATAGGTAAGCAGTGGCCAGCTCACAGAAGACCCTGAAGCCATCGTCAATATAGGATTTTACCTGGATTGACATAGGGAAGCACTGAGGCTTTTGAGCAGAGAGGTTAAATAACTTCCATCTTTGAAGTTATTCTTTGAGACAGTCTTGCTCTCTCGCCAGGGCTGGAGTGCTGTGGCATGATCTCGGCTCACTGTAGCCTCTGCCTCCTGGATTCAAGCAGTTCTCGTGCCTCCAAGTAGATGAGATTATAGCTATGTGCCACCATGCCTGCCTGATTTTTGTGGTTTTAGAGAGACAGGGTTTCACCTGTCTCTTTAGTAGAGACAGGCTGGTCTACGAACTCCTGACCTTAGGTGATCCACCTGCCTCGGCCTCCCAAAGTGCTGGAATTACAGGCATGAGCCACTGCACCCTGCCACTTTATTTTTTGAAACACGGTCTCACTCGGTTGCCCAGGCTGGAGTGTGGTAACGCCATCTTGGCTCACTGCAGCCTTGACCTCCTGGGCCAACCAGCAACTCAAACTTTTTGCTCCTCTACACGTGTCAGTGAGTGATTAAAAAGGCGCCTTTGTTTTTTTTGTTTTTTTTTTTTTTTTGAGACAGGATCTCACTGTCACCCAGGCTGGAGTGAGGTGACGTGATCTCAATTCGCTGTAACTTCTTCCTCCCAGGCTCAAGTGATCCTCCCACCTCAGCCTCCTGAGTAACTGGGAGCAGAGGTACACAGCCATGCTCAGCGGATTTTTGTACTTTCAGTAGAGACAGGGCTTCATTGTGTTGGCCAGGCTGTTTTTAAATTCTTGGCCTCAAGCAATCTACCTGCCTTGGACTCCCAAAATGCCAGGATTACAGGCATGAGCCACCTTGCCCATCCCGAGTCAAATTCTTTTAAGATTGCCTCCCAGATAGGATTCCAGGTTCAAGTGCATCTGATTGTAGCTAACTCACAAGGTATTTGTAAGATAGCCAAGTTGAGACCACTCACCTGCTGATAGAGCCAGCATTTTCTGGCACGATATCTAATTCCTACCTCTTTTTTATTTTTTCCTGAGATGGAGTCTTGCTCTTGTAGCCCAGGATGGAGTGTAGTGACAGGATCTCAGCTCACTGCAACCTCTGCCTCCAGGGTTCAAGTGATTCTCCTGCCTCAGCCTCCCAAGTAGCTGGGATTAAAGGCACCTACTGGCTGGGCACGGTGGCTCTCACCTGAGGTCCGGAGGTCGAGACCAGCCTGACCAACATGGAGAAACCCCGTCTATACTAAAAATACAAAATTAGCCAGGCATGGTGGCACATGCCTGTTTATTTGCAGCTATGTGGGAGGCTAAGGCAGGAGAATCACTTGAACCCAGGAGGTGGAGGTTGCAGTGAGCTGAGATCGCGCCATTACACTACAGCCTGGGCAACAAGAGTGAAACTATCTCAAAAAAAAAAAAAAAAAAAAAAGAGGCACCCACTACTATGCTCGGCTAATTTTTATATTTTAGTAGAGATGGAGTTTCAAGTTGGCCAGGCTGGTCTTGAGCTCCTGACCTTAAGTGATCCGCCCGCTTCGGCCTCCCGAAGTGCTGGGATTACAGGTATGAGCCACTGTGCCTGGCCCAATTCCCACCTCTCTGAATGTGGGGTGCTGGGCAGTGGCTTTTGGCTGAATGGCTTGAGGCACTGTATCCTTAAAATTTCACAGGTGTTCTTTGCATGACACAGACTAGAACTTAGACATAGGGCCTGGCGCAGTGGCTCACGCCTGTAATCCCAGCACTTTGGGAGGCCGAGATGGGCGGATCACCTGAGGTCAGGAGTTTGAGATGAACCTTCAACATGGCGAAACCCTGTCTCTACTAAAAATACAAGAATTAGCTGGGCATGGTGGCGGGCGCCTGTAATCCCAGCTACTCGGGAAGCTGAAGCAAGAGAATTGCTTGAACCTGGGAGGCGGAGGTTGCAGTGAGCCAAGATCACGCCACTGCACTCCAGCCTATGTGACAAGAGCAAAACTTCAAGAAAAAAAAAAACAAAAACTTAGACATAGACTAGAACTTATTCCTTTAACCATCCTAGTAAATGCTCGATCGACTCTATAAAGGTCCTCTCAATTATATAACTTGGGAAGTCGGCTTCACTGATTATTTTACACTAGCCACAGATTCAGTAAGGTGTAAGTATAGGAAGTTGAACTTATAAGTTAACTCACCACAGACATCTCAAGTTGCACAGTGGTTTCCTCAAAGCCTCACACAGGAACTTCATTCCCTTAACTCCTATGTGATTCAGCCCCAGATCCAAACACAACAGGCTTGATTTTTCTTGGAGAAGCTTTGTGAGATCGCAGCAGCCATCGCTAGTTATGTCGCAGTTCCAAAGCCTAGAAATCAACCACAGGAAGAAAGCAAACCCGAACCTGTGAGTTCTCACTGCTGTGATGCACCTTTGACTCTTGAGCCGTGGGTTAGACACACTTAGAGACAGTGGTGACATGGAAATGGAATCATGGGGTGGTGTGGTGGACAGAAGAATGGCCTCCCCTAAAGATGTCCAAGTCCCAACTCCTGGCACCTGCGAGCAAAAGGGACCTCGTAGAGGTGACTGAGCATCTTAAGATGGTTTATATCCTGGTTTATTTGGGTAGGTCCAGCAATCACAGGGATCCTCATAAGAGGGAGCTGAGAGTCAAAGCCAGCAGGAGGTGACGTGATAAGGGAGCCAGGGCAACGTTTGAAGATGCTCTGCCGAAGTTGGAGGAAGGGCCACAAGCCAAGGAATGCAGGTGGCCAACAGAAGTTGGAGAAGTAAAAAGGATTCTCAGCTGGCACGGTGGCTCACTTCAACCTCCGCCTCCTGGTTTCACGCGATTCTTGTGCCCCAGCCTTCCGAGTAGCTGGGATTACAGGGGGGTGTGTGTGTGTACACACATGCGCGTGCCACCACACCCAGCTAAGTTTTGTATTTTTAGTAGAGACAGGGTTTCCCCATGTTGGCCAGGCTGGTCTTGAACTCCCGACCTCAGATGATCTGCCCACCCTGGCCTCCCTAACATGCTGGGATTACGATTGTATTTGCTAAATTCAGTTGCTAGAGAGGTAGTGTCTTACAGGCAGAAGACACCAGCTCACACTCCAACATATCTGGTACTAGGATCCTAGATATTAACCAACACAGATTATCAGAGATATTTCACCTTAGCTCTGTTTTCTTTCTTCTGTCTCAATAGAGTTCTAAACTTAATTATAATTTGAACTATAATGCCCATGTATCTCTGGGTCCCAAGTGAAGCATACCACTAGCTGAGGGACACAGGACCTGGAAGGGCCTTGGAAATAGATGGCAGATTGGAGTCCATGACGATGGAGAAGTGAAAACACACCCCCAAATCTTGAAACTTTATGAATGTATAGAAACTTTTTTTTTTTTTTTTTTGAGACAGTCTCGCTCTGACACCCAGGCTGGAGTACAGTGGCACAATCTCAGCTCACTGCAACTTCCGCCTCCCAGGTTCAAGCAATTCTCTGCCTCACCCTCCCAAGTAAGCTGGGATTACAGGCTCCGACACCACGCCTGGCTAATTTTTGTATTTTTAGTAAAGACAGGGTTTCACCATGTTGGCCAGGCTGGTCTTGAACTCCTGACCTCATGATCCACCTGCCTCGGCCTCTCAAAGACCCTACCCGGCCTTCTAGAAACTTCCATGACTGTAATGGAGGAAAACCCACATAAGACTAAAGGGAAGTTGACAACTTAGCAAAATAGGGGCATGGATCAAAAAGTTGAATTGAGGGGGCCGGCACGGTGGCTCACACCTGTAATCCCAGCACTTTGGGAGGCTGAGGTGGGTGGATCACCTGAGGTCAGGAATTCGAGACCAGCTTGACCAACATGGTGAAAACTCGTCTCTACTAAAAATAAAGAAGTTAGCTGGGCGTGGTGGCATGCACCTTAATCCCTGGGAGGCTGAGGCAGGAGAATCACACCTGAACTCAGGAGGTGGAGGTTGCAGTGAGCTGAGATGGAGCCACTGCATTCCAGCCTGGGCGACAGAGCAAGACTATCAAAAAAAAAAAACCAAAAAAAAAAAAAAAAGAAAACCCCCCCCCCCCCAAAAAAATACCACACACACCACACACCACACACACACACAACCAAAAAAACTAGACATTCATTTGAAGATACAGTTAGTGAGTCGGTGACATCTCACTGCTTGTGGGACTTCTTTTTTAATGTTTCAGGGCCTAGATATAGTGGGTGTGGGAAGAATCCTTTCCTTCTACTCATCGTCTCCAGCCATGAACTGAATATGTCATTAAATTTAAGTGGGTAGTTTTCAGATGCCAGGTACATATCCTAGATTAGTTACTTCATAGGAAGAGGACAGTTCCTAACTGTTGGAGGTGATGTTAGAGACAAAGAATACCAGAGATATGTATGGCTGGACGCAGTGGCTCATGCCTGTAAATCCTAGCACTTTGGAAGGCTGAGGCGGGCGGATCATGAGGTCAGTTCGAGACCAACCTGGCCAACATGGTGAAATCCCATCTCTACTAAAAATATAAAAATTAGCCCGGCGTGGTGGTGAGTGCCTGTAATCCCAGCTACTCAGGAGGCTGAGGCAGGAGAATCAACCTCCTTGAAGCCGGAGGTTGCAGTGAGCCTAGATCATGCCATTGCCAGCGTGGGCAAGAGTAAAACTCCATCTTAAAAAAAAAAAAAAAAAATACCAGAGATGTTAACATAAAATCGAATCTCTGAACAGAAACCATCAGTGCAGATACAATTTTTTTTTTTTTTTGAGACAATCTCGTTCTGTCACCCAGGCTGGCACGATCTCGGCTCACTGCAACCTCCCGACTTCAAGCGATTCTCCTGCCTCAGCCTCCCAAGTAGCTGGGATTACAGGACCATACCACCACGCCTAGCTAATTTTTGTATTTTTAGTAGAGACAGGGTTTCACTGCATCAGCCAGGCTGGTCTCAAACTCCTGACCTCAGGTGTTCTGCCCGCCTCCTAAAGTGCTGAGATTACAGGCATGAGCCACCATGCCAGGCCCCAATTCCTTTCTAAAGATTTGTCCTATAATTTTTTTTTTTTGAGAGAGTCTTGCTCTATTGGCCAGACTGGACTTCAGTGGTGCCATCTCAGCTCACTGCAACCTCCACCTCCGAAGTTCAAGTGATTCTCCTGCCTTAGCCTCCTGAGTAACTGGGATTACAGGCATGTCCCACCATGCGTGACTAATTTTTGTATTTTTAGTAGAGAGACAATGTTTCACCATGTTGGGCAGGCTGGTCTTGAACTCCTGCCCTCAAGGGATCTGCCTTGCTTCGGCCTCCCAAGGTGATGGGATTATAGGCGTGAGCCACTATGCCAGGCCACGTGTCCTGTGATTTTAGTATTAAAAGGAGGATCACATTGAGCATGTAGCTTCCAATAGCTTCCATTGGGAGTCTGAGCGTACACTGGCCCAGAAGACTACCTGATTTGCAAATCATTCATTAAAAAATAAGTAAATGAATTCCATTTACAACCAATTGCATGCAATTTATGTTACAGTTATAGTTCTAAGAACACAGATTAAGAGAAAACACAGCATGGGGTGACATGGCTCATGCCTGTAATTCTAGCACTTTGGGAGGCCAAGGCAGGCAGATCTCTTGAGCTCAGGAGTTTGAGACCAGCCTAGGCAACACGGCGAGATCCCATCTCTAAAATACATACATACATAAAGAGGAAAAAAAAAACCCGAAAACCAGCTACATTCCCCAAATCCCTATAGAATATTACTACTACTCTACTACTACTTATACTTTTTTCCTACCATCATCTACCCAGGTCTTACCAGTTGTCATTAGCATCATGCTTGGAACTTTTAGAGGAATTAAGTGTTCTCATAACCACCCTACTCAAACCCGGAGGTGGGGGGCGTGTGCATATACACCCACGCACACAGGCAGCCAGCACGGACTTACACCAAGGTCTGCAGTTTACACTCGGGGTACCTCAAGCCCTCACACAGAAACTTCACCCCTGTATTCCCAATGGGGTTCTTGGCCAAGCACAGGTGTGTCAGCTCCCGGCTGACAACCAACACAGCAGCAAGGTCCTTGCAATTGGCTTCTGTAAGGTGACAGTTTTCCAACCTACAAAAGAATCACAAATGGCAACACGGTTGACAGGTCCAACTTCAACCTTCCCGGCTAGCTCCACAAGTGCCAGCATCCAAAAGCCCCTTCTTGTGAACTCCCCACCTTCTATCATGCACTGGTGATCCTATGAAGGAATAGGAATGAGAGAAGAACAAAATTCACAGGCCATCGGCCTGGATCTAAACATGGGAACAGGTGTTCACATCAGCGAGAGGTTCCATACAGCCAAGTCAGGCATGACCATTGCTCGTCTGTGGCCCCAGATCGAAAGCACAGCTGCTCTGTAAGAGAGGAGAGACTTACGACAACCTCTGCAGAAAGCACTTGGGGTGTCTCAAAGTTGTGTACAGCAACTTAGCACCCTCATCCAGAAGCTCATTGTCGGAGAGGTTTACGCACGTCAGGGACTGGTTGACTTCAAGGGCCAAGGAGAGATCAGCCCACTGCTGAGTGGTAGCGGAACAAGACACCAACCTGTGGGAGAAATAGGACCACGTCATTTTTTTTTTTTTTTTGAGACTGAGTCTCACTCTTGTTGCCCAGGTGGCGCAATCTCGGCTCACAGCAACCTCCGCCTCCTGGGTTCAAGTGATTCTCCTGCCTCAGCCTCCCGAGTAGCTGGGACTGCAGGCATGCACCATGCACCAACATGCCCAGCTAATTTTGTATTTTCAGTAGAGGTGGGGGTCTCTCCATGTTGGTCAGGCTGGTCTCAAACTCCCAATCTCAGGTGATCTGCCCACCTCGGCCTCCCAGAGTGCTGGGATGACAGGCGTGAGCCACCGCGCCCGGCAGAACAAGTCATTCTTGAGAATCTAACCGTGGAATCGTCTTTGGTTTACATCTCACTGGTTGTGTTATACCCCGACTTGAATTATCTGGAGCAGCAGTTGTCAAAGGGTGGTCAGACCAGTGGCACCAACATCGCCCAGGAATCAGCTGGAAATACAGAACTTAGTCAATCTGACTCTAATGTTGGATGCAGACTCCGCTAACCTATGTTTCATTGTTTGGTTTTTTGAAAGGGAGTTATTTATGCTCTGTCGCCCTGGCTGGAGTGTAGTGGCGCGATCTCAGCTCACAGCAACCTCTGCCTCCCAGATTCAAGAGATTCTCCCGCCTCAGCCTCCTGAGTAGCTGGGATTACAGGCAAATGCCATCTTGCCTGGCTAATTTTTGTATTTTTTAGTAGAGATGGGGTTTTACCATGTTGGCCAGGCTGGTCTCAAACTCCTAACTTTGGCCGGGGCAATGGCTCATGCCTGTAATCCCAGCACTTTGGGAGGCCGAGGTGGGCAGATCAGGAGGTCAGGAGTTTGAGACCATCCTGGCCAACATGGTGAAACCCCGGCTCTACTAAACATACAAAAGTTAGATGGGCGTGGCGACACGTGCCTGTAGTCCCAGCTACTCAGGAGGCTGAGGCAAGAGAATCACTTGAACCCAGGAGGCGGAGGTTGCAGTAAGCCGAGATCACTCCACTGCACTCTAGCCTGGGCGACAGAGCAAGACTCCGTCTCAAAACAAAAAACTCCTGACTTCAAGCGATACACCAGCCTAGGCCTCCCAAAGTACTGGGATTACAGGCAGGAGCCACCATACCCAGCCCACTAACCTATGTTTCAAGGTGCCCTGTTCATCCGGAAAATGTGTTAGAATAAATTCATAAGAAATGAGTGGCTGGGCACAGTGGCTCATGCCTGTAATCCCAGGACTTTGGCAGGCCAAGGCAGGTGGATCATGAGGCCAGGAGTTTAAGACCAGCCGGAACAACATGATGAAACCCCATTTCTCCTAAAAATACAAGAATTAGCTGGGCGTGGTGGCACATGGCTGTAATCCCAGCATTTTGGAAGATGGATGTCACTTGAGGTCAGGAGTTCGAGACCAGCCCAGCCAACACGGTGAAACCCCGGCTCTACTAAATATACCAAAAATTAGCTGGGTGTGGTGGATTGCCCGAGGTCAGGAGTTTGAGACCACCCTGGCCACCAGCATGGCGTAACCCTGTCTCTACTAGAAATACAAAATACTAGAAATACAAAAATACAGGTGGGTGCCTGTAATCCCAGCTACTTGGGAGGTTGACGGAGAAGAATCACTTGAACCCGGGAGGCAGAGGTTGCAGTGAACCAAGATTGTGGCACTGCACTCCAGCCTAGGAGACAGAGCAAGACTATATCTTGAGAAAAAAAGAAAGAAATTAGTGACCCAAATCTTTAATTCACCCAATATTCCCCCTCACCCTGCATCCCATTATTCTCAGGCAAAAAGAAAAGAGGGTAATTGCAACGGTTAGTAATGATAGCAGCCACTATTGAATGCATGGGCTTGGTTTCATTCAACCTTCCAATACCTGTAAGATGTACAGCATCCTATTCAACTAAGATCCCATTAAGCAGCCTAAGATTGTATCAGTAGAGCCAGAGCAATCAATTTTTTTTCTGTCCTCGAGATGGAGTTTTGCTCTGTTGCCCAGGCTGGAGTGCAATGGCGTGATCTTGGCTCACTGCTACCTCTGCCTCCTAGGTTCAAGCAATTCTCTTGCATCAGCCTCCATGAGTAGCTGGGATTACAGGCACGCGCCACCATGCCCAGCTAATGTTTTTGTATTTTTAGTAGACGTGGGGTTTCACCATGTTGGCCAGGCTGGTCTTGAACTCCTGACCTTGTGATCCACCTGCCTTGGCCTCCCAAAGTGCTGGGATTACAGGCATGAGCTACCGCACCCAGCCAAGATTTTTTTTTTTTTTTTTGAGACAGTCTCACACTGTTGCCCAGACTGGAGTGCGGTGGTGTGATCTCAGCTCACTGCAACCTCCGCCTCTCAGGTTCAAATGATGCTCCTGCCTCAGCCTCCTGAGTAGCTGGGACTACAGGCGTGCGCCAACATGCCCAGCTAATTTTTGTATTATTAGTAGAGACAGAGTTTCACCATGTTGACCAGGCCGGTCTTGAACTCCTGACCTCAAGTGATCCACCCACCTCGGCCTCCCAGGCGTGAGCCACTGCGCCTGGCCCAGGGCAATAATTTGAGGCCAATGACCACCTACTACACCAGTGTGGCCAAGTGAGGCTTCATGGAACCCCATGATGCATGTAGGTTCTCATCGCCTGGGCAGCCACTGGACAGCTTCCCAAGGGGAGAGCTCTCAAACCAGAGGACTAACAGAAAAGGGGCAACTTGATGTTCCTGAAGGGTTCTTGCTTGAAAAATGTCAATAGCTGGTATTCTGAATCATCATACAGGAGAAGCATGAACCATGAGTGAATGATCTCTGATAGAAGATAAAGATTCTGGGCTGGGCACGGTGGCTCATGCCTCACTTTGGGAGGCCGACGGCGGGGTGGGGTGGGGGTGGGGGGGTAGATCACCTGAGGTCATGAGTTCGAGACCAGCCTGGCCAATGTGGTAAAACTCCATCTCTACTAATAATACAAAAATTAACCAGGTGTGGTGGTGTGCACCTGTAATCCCAGCTACTCAGGAGGCTGAGGCAGGAGAATCACTTGAACCTGGGAGGTGGAGGCTGCAGTGACCTGAGATCATACCAACGCACTCCAGCCTGGGTGACAGAGCGAGACTCCATCTCAAAAAGAAAAAAGAAAAAGAAAAAACCAAAACCAAAACCAAAACATAAGGACTCTGGCTGGGCATGGTGGCTCATGCCTATAATCCCAGCACTTTGGGAGCCTGAGGAGGGCAGGTCACCTGAGGTCATGAGTTCGAGACCAGCCTGGCAATGTGGCGAAACCAGCTCCACTAAATGCACAAAAATTAGCCGGGCGTGGTGGCGGGTGCCTGTAATCCCAGCAACTTGGGAGGCTGAGGCAGCAGAATTACTTGAACCCAGGAGACAGAGGTTGCAGTGAGCCAAGATCGTGCCATTGCACTTTGGCCTGGGCAACAGAGCAAGACTTCATAAAAAAAAAAAAAAAGATGATAAAGATTCTGGGAGTTTCTTTGGATTCAGGGTCCTCACGTATGGTTGTCCAGGGTGTTTACTGTTCAAGGCAAGTAGAAACTCAAGTTCAGCCCATGCTGCATCCTGGGTCATCTGCCCTTAGTACTGTTTCTAGTCAGAATAACGAACTTTTTCTTATTTACACAAAATTGCCACATAAGCTTGTGGTAGCTTATGTTTGTATGATGAAGGATTTTAATGATTAAGAGATATACCCGAGATATCGCAGGTTACATTCTGGATGTCTCAAGACCTCACACAATGCGGGAAACATATCATCCTGGTCATTGCCTTGAAGGGTCAGATACGTTACAGTCTTGTGACCTCGAAGAGCTAGGCAGAGGTTCCGATGAGCATCAGCTGGGGAAATGTTTTTGAACCTAGGGAAAAGAGAACGAAAGTGAAATCTTTAGTGTGTACACCTGTATCGTACTTAAATGGAAACCAGGGGCTCGATATATTTAAACTTTAGGAACTATTTTTTCCATGTTTAAATTTTTGTCCATCTTTACAGATTTTTTTTTTCTTTGAGATGGAGTCTCACTCTGTTGCCCAGGCTGGAGTGCAGTGGCGCGATCTCGGCTCACTGCAAAGCAAACTCTGCCTCCCGGATTCAAGCGACTCCTACCCTCAGCATCCGGAGTAGCTGGGATTATAGGCACCTGCCACGACACCTGGCAAATTTTTGTATTTTTCGTAGAGACAGGGTCTTGCACCATCTTGGCCAGGCTGGTCTTGAACTCCTGACCTCAAGTGATCCCCCCACCTTGGGCCCCCAAAGTGCTGGGACTACAGGCGTGAGCCATTGTGCCCGGCCCTTTTTTTCTTTTTCTTTTTTTTTTTTTTTTTTTTTGAGACGCAGTCTCGCTCTGTCACTCAGACTGGAGTCCAGTGGCAGGATCTTGGTTCACTGCAACCTCCGCCTCCTGGGTTCAAGTAATTCTCCTGCCTCAGCCTCCCAAGTAGCTGATATTACAGGTGCCTGCCACCACGCCTGGATAATTTTTGTATTTTTAGTAGAGGCAGGGTTTTGTCACGTTGGCCAGGCTGGTCTCGAACTCCTGACCTCAAGTGATCTGTCTGCCTCGGCCTCCCGAAGTGTTGGAATTACAAGTGTGAACCACCATGCCCAGCCCCTAGAAATTACTTTATACGATTATCCCACAAAATAAATTTAAGGACAGGACTCTCTCAATTCCCTGTGTCTCGAGCACTTAAGAGTCTAGTACAGGAATCTGAATATTGCTCCGATGTTAACATTGTACCATTTTCATACCCTAAGGATTTGAGTTCATGAATTAGTTTCTACTTACACCACTCTCTGGAGATGACAGGTGTCAGAGGCTATTTGTTCACACAGGATCCTTACTAGGGAGGCACTGAGAAAGCTATCATTGATTGCTAGACCCATCAGATCCTTATTTGATCCAAATATGGAACAAAGGTCCGTCCAGAAAGGAAGCATGTGCTGATCATCCTGGGATCTATAGGGAAGAGAAGAAAGGGTTACACCAAATGTGTGTCCATCACGGCTGAAGTATTTAGGGTTTCTCTGGGCATATACCCCTGACAAATGAGTACAATTGAAAGCTGGACCATGTAATCACTTATTAGCACCACCATCAGACAACTCAACACCCAAGAAGCATCACAGGAGAAAGAACCTATTCTTCTTAGACAAAAATCCAATAGAGGGTAAAAATAAGTTAAAATGCTAAGCACATCATTGATAAAAGATAGAGAATATAGACCGGGCACGGTGACTCACGCCTATAATCCTAGCACTTTGTGAGGCTGAGGCGGGTGGATCACCTGAGGTCGGGAGTTCGAGACCTGCCTGGCCAACATGGTGAAACCCCGTCTCTACTAAAAGTACAAAAATTAGCTGGGCATGGTCGTGGGTGGCTGTAATCCCAGCTACTCATGAGGCTGAGGCAGGAGAATCATTGAACCTGGTGGGGCGGAGGTTGCAGTGAGCCGAGATCGAGCCACTTCACTCCGACCTGGGAAAAAGAGTGAAACTCCGTCTCAAAAAAAAAAAAAAAGATTGGGAATATACATATCTATACATATCAATAAGAAATATTCAGGCAGGGCGTGTGGTAACTCATGCCTGTAATCTCAGTGCTTTGGGAGTTCAAGACCAGCCTGGACAACATAGTGAGATTTTGTCTTTCCAAAAAAAAAAAAAAAAAAAAAAACACAAAAAAAAACCCCCACTTAAGTTAGCTGGACATGATGGTGCACACTTAATACCTGTCATCCCAGGTACTCAGGAACATCACTTGAACCCAGAAGTTTGAGGATGCAGTGAGCTGATTTCACCACTGTACTCCAGCCTGAGCAACACAGCAAGACCCTGTCTTAAAAAAATATATTTGGGCCGGGCATGGTGAATCATGCCTGTAATCCCACTTTGGAGGCTGAGGCAGGTGGATCACCTGAGGTCAGGCGGAGTTCAAGACCAGACTGGCCAACATGCTGAGATCCCGTCTCTAATGAAAATATAAAAATTAGCCGGGCAAGGTGGCAGGCGCCTGTAGTCCCAGCTACTCAGGAGGCTGAGGCAGAAGAATCACTTGAACCCGGGAGGCGGAGGTTGCAGGGAGCCAAGATCGCGCCACTGCGCTCCAGCCTGAGCGACAGAGCAAGACTCCATCTCAAAACAAAAACAAACAAAGAGTCCAACAAGAGGGAATTCCTGACCCTAAGCCACAGTGCATAGGAGGCTCTGGCCTCTTCCTAAGGGGGCATGGGATGAGGCTAAAGATGGAACGACTGGTAGAGTGAAACGGTTCTCACCTCTCAACCTCGGCGTCTGATTCAGACGCAGTGACATTCTCCGGGAGATTCTCCTTTATTACCTGCAGTGACATTTTCTGCAGGTTTCGACAGTGCTTGACGCAGAATGAAGATGGCACAACGTCTACTGCATTTAAGTGCAGGGATATTTCTTTGAACTGAGCCATCACCTCCTTCACCAGCTCCTCCTCCTGAGACTCGTACAGACAGCCGAGGAGCTCCTGCAGGTCTGTCACCGTTGAATGTCCACCCTTACAACTTATGTCGCATCGCAGCAATTCCTGTTTGATGTCCGGTGACATCCGGCAGCCAAAAGTGGCCTCCAACTCCTTGGCTCTCTTCTCGTTAGCGAGGCCAAAGGAGTAGTAGCCTGCTTGGATCAGGTCGGGGTTCCTGAGTCTTTCTACTCCGGAAAGCAGCTTCTGTACGTCCCCAATGTCCCAGGTGTGGCCGTCCCTATCCTCTTCCTCCTCCTTCTCCAGGGTGTAGAACAGGGCAGTGAGAAACTGCTGGAAGCTGAGGTGGATGAAGGAGTAGCAGCCTTTGGAGACTCTGTCCTGGCGGAGGATGTCTCCGTCCAGGAACAGACGGAGGTCGGACTCCTGCACCCCGAGCCTTTCCAGATCCTCTCGGTGAAGCACGGACGTCTGCGCCCACAGGCCCTGCGCGGCCAGGAGGCTCAGCGTCCGCAGCGCGCCCCGCAGCTGTGCGCCCTGCGGGAACCGGCTGCAGAGGAAACGCAGGAACAGCCCCGTGCGGGTGAGGCAGGTGGGGACCGGGTCCTCCCCCTTCTCCATCTGCAGCTTCAGAGTCGTGCACACGATCCAGCACACCGCGGGGGCCGAGCCCAGCTGGAACAGGGCCGCGTTGCTCCTCATTAGCTCAAAGGCACGCATGGCTTGGTCCTCGTCTCCAAAGTGTCTCAGGAAATAGGCCCTCCTGTCCTCCTCCAGGAAGCCCTCCACCCTTATGTAGATCGGCTCCTCCGCCAGGATCCGGAGGTCCCTCAGGGCCCTGGGCCGCGTGGTGACCAGCAGGGCGGCCTTGGGTAACATCACCCTGTTCAGCAAACTCCCCAGGAGGACGGGCACCGGCTTCTTCTTCTCCCAGTCCCCGCAGATGTCCTCGATCAGCGCCCCAGGTGCGGCTCCCAGCTCATCAAAGCCGTCAATCACGAACAAGATTTTCCGTGCTTGGGCTAGGATGTGTGGAATGTCATCCTGCAATTCAGGCCAGTCCCTGAAGACCAGCTCTGCAAAACTGCACGGGCCCAGGCGGCTGAGCTCCCTGCAGCTGAGGTAGAACGCATATTTGAATTTGTGGATGAGGTTGTCCTCTGCCCAGTCTAGCATTAGTTTCTGGGCCAGCGTGGTTTTCCCAAGGCCTGCAGGACCATACAGCACCACCGTGTATGAGAAGGGCCCGGGAAGCACCCTGGGGTTGCTGAATGGGATCAGCATCTTGTATCTCTCAGCCATAACCTGGACCTCTTTGCTATCTCCAGGCCAGCTCTTCCACATCTCCCGGAACTTCGTCTTCAATATATACCTGCACCTATTGTCTTTGTCTTTATCATTGGTGAGGAGGGAAGGGAGAGAGGATGCAATCAGTTACCCATAGGGAAAACCAAAATAACAAAATGCCTTGTGTTGGCCGGGCACAGTGGCTCATGCCTGTAATCCCAGCCCTTTGGGAGGTCGAGGCAGGCAGATCACCTGACATTGGGAGTTCAACACCAGCCTGACCAACATGAAGAAACCTTGTCTCTACTAAAAATAAAAAATTAGCCAGTCATGGTGGCGCATGCCTGTAATCCCAGCTACTCGGGAGGCTGAGGCAGGAGAATTGCTTGAACCTGGGAGGCGGAGGTTGCAGTGAGTCGAGATCACGCCACGGCACTCCAGCCTGGGCAACAAGAGCAAAACTCCGTCTCGATACATACATACATAAATAAATGCTTTGTGTTACATAGGAAAGTTAAGAGGACTTCAAGTTTATAAAGAGAAATCTGATCCCAAGCTCCCTGCAGGAAGATATGGTACAGACCTGGCTTTTTTCCTTTAAAGACTTCTTTACCCAGGCAGATGACATTTCCTTTCGTTTCTGTAAACGCTACAAAATACAAACTCATGTGAGATTGACACAAAATCAGGTGTATTTCCTGTGGAGTCCCAATTAGAGAAAAGGAGGCAGGCTGATGGGGCGGGGGGGAGGGGGGGCACGGGATCAGATAAAGCAAATAAGCTACAAATGTGTTTTCCGGCCAGGTGTGGTGGCTCATGCCTATAATCCCAGAACTTTGGGAGGCTGAGGTGGGGTGGATCACTTGAGCTCAGGAGTTCGAGACCAGCCTGGCCAACACAGAAACCCCATCTCTACTAAAAATGCAAAAATTAGCCAGGCGTGGTGGCGCATGCCTGTAATCTCAGCTACTTGGGAGGCCAAGAGGCTCGAGAATTGCTTGAACCTGGGAGATGGAGGTTGTAGTAAGAGATCGCACTACTGCACTCCACCCTGGGCAACAGAGCAAGACTCCATCTCAATAAAATAAATAAATAAGCTTTCCTCCATGGTTCAGGGCATACAAACAAGAGGAAACAGGTCAGCTATAGGTCTGTTTGAGACAGTCTCACTCTGTTGCCCAGGCTGGAGTGCAGTGGCGCAATCTCAGCTCACTGCAACCTCCGCCTCCCGGGTTCAAGCGATTCTCCTGCCTCAGCTTCCCAAGTAACTGGAATTACAGGCATGTGCCACTGCGTCTAGGCTAATTTTTGTATTTTTAGTAGAGATGGGGTTTCGCCATGTTGGCCAGGCCAGTCTAAAACTGCTGACCTCAGATGATCCACCCACCTCAGCCTCCCAAAGTGCTGGGATTGCAGGCATGAACCACTGCACTGGGCCAGGTCTGCTTTTATGGTCCAGGAGATACGGCCCAAGATGTTTGGCCTTCCTGGCCAGATCACACACAGAGCTCACAAACTCCCTGTTTGCCATGAAACGCCTCAGTTTATCAAACACTTCTGCTGAAAGAAGACCGCAAGTTAAACCCCCTGTTGACATTATCAATCAGCCCAAGCCCTATTCTATAAAATCTGCAGGAAGCTTTGGTCTCCTGGCAGTGAGCTACTCATGACAACCTGCCCGCTGGGGTCTCTCTGCCAATGTCTTTTCCTACTTTCTCCAATAAATCTGCCTTCCTTTACCTACGATTGTCTTCATAAATTTCTTTACCCGCGGCTGGGCGCGGTGGCTCACGCCTGTAATCCCAGCACTTTGGGAGGCCAAGGCGGGTGGATCATAAGGTCAGGAGATCGAGACCATCCTGGCTAACACGGTGAAACCCTGTCTCTACTACAAATACAAAAAATTAGCCGGGCGTGTGGCGGGCGCCTGTAGTCCCAGCTACTGGGGAGGCTGAGGCAGAATGGCGTGAACCCGGGAGATGGAGCTTGCAGTGAGCCGAGATTGCGCCACTGCACTCCAGCTTGGGTGACAGAGCAAGACTGTCTCAAAAAAAAAAACAAAACAAAACATTTCTTTACCTGCCATGCCACCAGGCACTATTCACCCACATTTCCTGCTGAAGCATGATGATAGAGCAGGCACCACAGTACCCCAAGTCGCACCGAAATTCTTTGTCAAGATTGTGTGCTAGGCTGGGCACAGTGGCTCACGCCTGTCATCCCAGCACTTTGGGAGGCTGAGGCGGACGGATCACGAGGTTAGGAGATCCAGACCATCCTGACTAACACGGTGAAACCCTGTCTCTACTAAAATACAAAAAATTAGCTGGGCGTGGTGGCACACACCTGTACTCCCAGCTATTTGGGAGGCTGAGGCAGGAGAATCGCTTGAACCTGGGTAGCAGAGGTTGCAGTGGGCCAAGATTGCACCACTGCACTCCAGTCTGGGCAACAGAGTGAGACTCCATCTCAAGAAAAAAAAAGATTGTGTGCCAGGAATGACATTGGCCGTGTCTAGAGAGATGAACAGGGCAAACAATTCCTTCAACCAAGTTACTCACCTCTATTATACAGAGCCATAGCAAGAAATACTTGCTGTATCAAAAGTCAATGTGGGCTAGGTACGGTGGCTCATGCCTGTAATCCCAGCACTTTGGGAGGCCGAAGTGGGTGGATCACCTGAGGTCAGGAGTTCAAGACCAGCCTGCCCAACATGGTGAAACCCTGTCTACTAAAAATAAAACTAACAAATGCAAAAATTAGCCAGATGTGGTGGTGGGCGCCTATGATCCCAGCTACTCGGGAGGCTGAGGCAGAATCACTTGAACCTGGGAGGTGGAGGTTGTGGCGAGCCGAGATCACACCATTGCACTCTAGCCTGGGCGACAAGGGCAAAACTCTTTCTCAAGAAAAAACAAAAATGCTACCAGGAAGATAAGAGGGAATGTGGAGTAAGCAAGGCTGATCTGAAACTGATCACAGGCTAGGTGCGGTGGTTCACAGCTGTAATCCCAGCACTTTAGGAGACCGAGGTAGGTGGATCACTTGAGGTCAGGAGTTCTAGACCAACCTGGCTACCCTGTTGAAACCCCATCTGTACTAAAAACACAAAAGTTAGCCAGGCATAGTGGTGGGCACCTATAGTCCCAGCACCTGGGGAGGCTGTGGCAGGAAGACCCCTTGAACCCAGGAGGCAGAGATTGCAGTGAGCCAAGATGGGGCCACTGCACTCCAGCCTGCATGACAGAGTGAGACTCTATTTCAAAAACAAAAAAAACAGAAAAAACCTATCACAAAGTCAGCTCAGGCAAGTCACCTACCCAAAAGACTCAATTTTCTCTGTAAGTTGTTTATATTAAAGTTGTCTGAGCAATGTACCATAAATACATTTATGCCTGTCAATTTTTTTTTTTTTTTTTTAAGATGGAGTCTCGCACTGTTGCCAGGCTGGAGTGCAGTGGCACAATCTTGGCTCACTGCAACCTCCACCTCCCGGGTTCAAGCGATTCTCCTGCCTCAGCCTCCTGAGTAGCTGGGACTACAGGCGGGTGCCACCACACCCGGCTAATTTTTGTGTTTTTAGTAGAGTTGGGTTTCACCATGTTGGCCAGGATGGTCTCGATCTCTTGATCCACCCGCCTCAGCCTCCCAAAGTGCTGGGAGATTATAGGTGAGAGCCACCACACCTGGCCACCTGTCAACTTTTAAATAATTTAAAGAAGGCCGGGTACGGTGGCTCTCGCCTGTAATCCCAGCACTTCGGGAGACTTGGGGGTGGGTGGAGCAGATCTCTTGAGGTCAGGAGTTTGAGACCACCCTGAATGAGATGGTGAAACCTGTCTCTACTAAAAGTACAAAAAAAAATTAGCTGGGCGTGGTGGCATGCACCTGTAGTCCCAGCTACTCAGGAGGCTGAGACAGGACAATCACTTGAATCTGGGAGGCGGAGGTTGCAGTGAACAGGGATGGTGCCACTATACTCCAGCCTGGGTGACAAGAACAAGACTTCGTCTCAAAAAAAAAAAAAAAAATTAGCTGGGTGTGGTGGCAGGTGCCTATAATCCCAGCTACTCAGGAGGCTGAGTCAGGAGAATCAGGAGAATCGCTTGAACCTGGGAGGTGGAGGTTACAGTGAGCCGAGATCGCGCCATTGCATTCCAACCTGGCCAACAGAGAAACTGTCTCAAAACAAAAACAAAAACAAAAACTCTCTGCGCTGTGCTCCTAACTTTCTACAAACTGAGTTCTAATTCTCTGCAACGTTCGTTCTTCCCTCTATTCTTACGGAAGGGAGGTTGGCATTCTCCAGGAGACAGTGGGCACATTAAGAATAGTGGAGGAAAAGATTGGAGAGAGATGGGGTTCTTCAAAGGAACAGGAGATAGCAGCAAGAACGGGGGGCTTCCTCAGCTGACTCCAACATTGGAGGTCCTGACACCCACCTTGTGCTTCTGTTTTGAAGCGCTCCAGCATTTCGTCCACGTCTAGAGGTGGTCGTTCTTTCCGTGTTATCCCTGGAGAAAAAGGGCGGCATTACAGGCCTGTTGCTGTGCTGGCAGTGGGACTCCAAGATGGCTCAAGTTGGACCCCTGAGTCTCAGTAGTGAAGCCTAGATTAGGTACTAAAAAGGACGTTGATAAGGTACTGGATGTAAAAGTGAAAGTACATTAGGCCATGATCCCAGGTTTATGTGCCTTTCTGGTGAGAATTCCTAAGTAGTTCAGAACACATGGTGTGAAAGACACACACACACACACACACACACACACACACACACAAACTACTCACGCATAAGGCCACTGGAAAGGCTTTGAGGATTAACTGCCTAGTTTTTCTTTTTTTTTGAGATGTAGTTTTGCTCTTGTTGCCCAGGCTGGAATGCAATGGTGTGATGTCGGCTCACTGCAACCTCCGCCTCCTGGGTTCAAGTGATTCTCCTGCCTCGGCCTCCGGAGTAGCTGGGATTACAGGAATGTGCCACCATACCTGGCTAATTTTGTATTTTTAGTACAGACAGGGTTTCTCTACGTTGGTCAGGCTGGTCTCGAACTCCCAACCTCAGGTGATCTGCCTGCCAGGCCTAACCCCCTAGTTTCTGATGAGGTAGATAAATTTAAAATGAACTGGGAAAGAATGTAAGAACAAGGTGGAATCAGCCGGGCATGGTGGCTCATGCCTGTAACCCAACACTTTGGGAGGCCAAGGCAGGCGGATCATGAGGTCAGGAGATCGAGACCATCCCGGCCAACATGGTGAAGCCCCGTCTCTACTAAAACAAAAAATTAGCCGGGCATGGTGGTGTGTTACCTGTAAGTCCCAGCTACTTGCGAGGCTGAGGCAAGGGAATTGCTTGAACCCAGGAGGCGGAGATTGCAGTGAGCCAAGATCGCTCCACTGCACTTCAGCCTGGCAAAAGAGCAAGCGAGACTCCGTATCAAAAAAAAAAAAAAAAAGAGAGAGAACAAGGTGGAATCCTAATAACAATATCTGCAGCTTAACCCTGGATAATGAAGAGGTGAGTCCATGGAACTCCTGAAAAGATGCTGGGGAGGGAACTGGACACGGGCATGTGAAATTCAGGACAAAGGCTGATCTGAGAAGAGCCTTTAGAGTCTTCACCACCAGGTGAGGTGGCTCATGCCTGTAATCCCAGTACTTTGTGAGGCTGAGGCAGACAGTTCATTTGAGGTCAGCAGTTTGAGACCAGCCTGGCCAACATGGTGAAACCCTGTCTCTACTAAAAATACAAAAATTAGCCAGACGTGGTGGTAGGCGCCTGTAATCCCAGCTACTTGGGAGGCTAAGGCAGGAGAATCACTTGAACCTGGGAGGCGGAGGCTGCAGTGAGATTGTACCACTGCACTCCAGCCTGGGTGACAGAGCAAGACTCTGTCTCAAAAAAGGTCTTCATGAGACCAGGCGCAGTGACTCACACCTGTAATCCCAACACTTTGGGAGGCTGAGGCACGTGGATCACGAGGTCAGGAGTTCAAGACCAGCCTGGCCAACATGGTGAAACCCCATCTCTACTAAAATTACAAAAATTAGCTGGGCTTGGTGGCAGACACCTATAATCCCAGCTACTCGGGAGGCTGAGGCAAGAGAATCACTTGAACCGGGAGGCGGAGGTCAGAGGTTGCAGTGAGCTGAGATCATGCCACTGCATTCCATCCTGGGCAACAGAGTGAGACTTTGTCCAAAAAAAAAAAGTCTTCATGGCCAGGTGTGGTGAATCATGTCTGTAATCCCAGCACTTTGGGAGGCCAAGGTGGGAGGATCACTTGAGACCAGGAGTTTGACACCATATCTGGCAACATAGTGAAACTGTCCCTACCAAAAATACAAATATTAGTCAGGTGTGGCAGTGCACACCTGTAGTCCCAGCTACTCAGGAGGCTGAGGTAAGAGGATCTCTGGAGCCTGGAAGGTTGAGGCTGCAATGAGCTATGACTGTGCCACTGCAATCAAGCCGGAGCAACACAGCAAGACCCCATCTCAAAACACAATCTTCAGGGGCCGGGCGCGGTGGCTCACGCCTGTAATCCCAGCACTTTGGGAGGCCGAGGCGGGCGGATCACAAGGTCAGGAGATCGAGACCATCCTGGCTAACACGGTGAAACCCCGTCTCTACTAAAAACACAAAAAAATTAGCCAGGCGTGGTGGTGGGCGCCTGTAGTCCCAGCTACTCGGGAGGCTGAGGCAGGAGAATGGCATGAACCCGGGAGGCGGAGCTTGCAGTGAGCCGAGATCACGCCACTGCACTCCAGCCTGGGCAACAGAGAGAGACTCTATCTCAAAAAAAAAAAAAATAATAATAATCTTCAGGATATAAGTAGCTGGTAAGGGCCAGGTGTCATGGCTCACACCTGTACCCCAGCAGTTTGGGAGGGTGAGGCAGGAGGACTGATTGAGTTTAGTAATTCGAGGCCAGCCTGGGCAACATAGCAAGACCCTGTCTCTACAAAAAGTGAAAAAAATTAGCCAGGCATGGTGGCAAGTGCCTGTGGTCCCAGCTACTCAGGAGGCTGAGGCAGGAGGATCACCAGAGCTTGGGAGGTCAAGGCTGCAGTGAACCATGATTGCACCACTCCAGCCTAAGTGACAGAGTGAAGCCCTGTTTCAAAAAAAAAAAAAAAAAAAAAAAAAAAAAAAAAAAAACAAAACCGGGTGTGGTGGTGGCTCATGCCCATAATCCCAGCATTTTGGGACGCTGAGGTGGGCAGATCACTTGAGGTCAGGAGTTCAAGACCAGCCTGGCCATCATGGTGAAACCCCATCTCTACAAACACCACAAAAAATTAGCCGGGCCTGGTGGCAGGTACCTGTAATCCCAGCTATTCTAGAGGCTGAGGCAGGAGAACTGCTTGAACCCAGGAGGTAGAGGTTGCAGTCAGCCGAGGTCGTACCACTGCACTTCAGCCTAGGTGACAGAGCAAGCCTCCATCTCAAAAAAGAAAAGTCTCTACCTTATCCAGATTCAAAGGCCAAGCTTACCCTTCCCCGCTTTGTATGTATTTATAGATTTCCAACAAACGCGATCGTGTTTCAGCTTCCCAGGTCTTACTGCTACGCACCTGCGAGACCAGCTCCGCCCTGGGAGCAGGGATGCTAAGTCCGGCATTTCTTTGCATTCTTAGTGCTCAGCACATTCTCCTTAAAACAAAGGCCCGAGTCCCCAGATCTCACATGAAGAATAAAAGTTATAAATGAGGTAACTTACCTAATGATAGAGGCTTCCTTTTATTAAAGGATTTCAAAGCTGCTTCTGAAAAAGGAGAAGGGGGGAAAATTTTGCATTTTACCATAAGCTCAAGATTTTATTGCCTTCATAAAAGAAAAGATGACACTTAGAACTGGATCACTTGTTCCTTTCTCTTATCTCCTTCCAGTTCAAAATGCTTGCATCTTTTTTTTTTGAGACAGAGTGTCACTCTGTTGCCCAGGCTGGAGTGGCACAATCTTGGCTCACTGCAACCTCTGCCTCCCAGGTTCAAGCGATTCTCCTGCCTCAGCTTCCTGAGTAGCTGGGACTATAGGCATACACCACCATGCCCAGCTAAGTTTTGTATTTTTAGTAGAGATGGGGTTTCACCATTTTGGCCAGGCTGGTCTCAGACTCCTGACCTTGTGATCCGCCCACCTCGGCCTCCCAAAGTGTTGGGATTACAGGCGTGAGCCACCGCGCTTGGCTGCTTGTATCTTTTAATAGCCAGCATTCTTAGATCTGCAGTTGGGCTCAAGGCACTCAAGCCTTAGCACAATCTTCTTTGTAGTTTTAGCCTTTTTCCGGAAAATCGGCTTAGTCTGCCCACCATAGCCACTCTGCTTCCTGTCATAACACTACTTCCCCTGGGCATACCAAGAATCCTTGCCTTGTGTCACTTTGTGGGGGTGGTGCTTGCCACACTTCTTACAGAAAGTCCGGCGGGTTTCAGGAACATTCACCATGTCTGTGTGAGCGCTATTGGCATGGAAAGAAAATTTGTATCTTTTTCAGAGCCCAGACCTTCGTAAGTTTACAACTCTCTGGGTTTCCTCCTGCCGTTTTCAAACTTGTAACCTCCGGAGGTCAGCTAAAGTTAAAAACCCTTGGCCGGGCATGGTTGCTCACACCTGTAATCCCAGCACTCTGGGAGGCTGAGGTGGGCAGATCACCTGAGGTCGGGAGTTCGAGACCAGTCTGGTCAACATGGTAAAACCCTGTCTCTACTAAAATACAAAAATTAGCGGGCATGGTGGTAGGCGCCTGTAATCCCAGCTACTCTGGAGGCTGAGGCAGGAGAATCACTTAAACCTGGGAGGAGGAGGTCACAGTGAGCCGAGATCGCGCCATTGCACTCTAGCCTGGGAGACAAGAGTGAAACTTCGACTCAAAAGCAAAACCAAAATCCAAACCAAACCAAAAAAAAAAAAAAAAAAACCCTCACCCATTGTTAAAGACAGGAAACATTATGCTAAAAAGTGATCTCTAGCTGAAATAAAACTGGCAATTTTTAAATAAAAAGATAGGAGTTCCTTAAGGTTGAGGAGTATTCCATTGTGTAATTAATACCATGTTTGTTTGTTTTTTTTTTTTGAGATGGAGTCTTGCTGTCACCCAGGCTGGAGCGCAGTGGCACGATCTTGGCTCACTGCAACCTCTGACTCTCTGGTTCAAGCAATCCTCCTGCCTCAGCCTCCCAAGTAGCTGGGACTACAGGAGTGTGCCACCACGCCCGGCTGATTTTTTTATATTTTTAGTAGAGACAGGGTTTCACCACATTGGCCTGACTGGTCTCAAACTCCTGGCCTCAAGTGATCCACCCGCCTTGGCCTCCCAAAGTGCTGTGATTACAGGCGTGAGCCACTGTGCCCGGCCTACCATGTTTCCTTTTTAAGGCTTGGGGTCCCAACAATCTCATAACCCAGGCAGTAGGCAGGGTACCCAACGGGCACATTTTTTATTCATCCACTGATGGTCACTTAGACTGACTCTATATCTTGGTTACTGTAAATAAAGCTGCACTGGCCAGGCACTGTGGCTCATGTTTCTGATCCCAGGACTGTGGGAAGCCAAGGCAGGAGGATCGGTTGAGCCCACAGAAGTTCGAGACCAGCCTGGGCAACATGGTGAAACCCTATCTCTACAAAAATATATATATATACAAGAATGAGCGAGGTGTGGTGGGAGGCCATAGTGGTAGGATTGCTCAAGTCTGGGAGGTCAAGGCTGCAGTGAGCTGTGATTGCCCCATTGTACTCCAGCCTGAGCAAGAAAACGAGACCCCGTTTCAAAAAAAAGTGTAGCTGGGCATGGCGGCTCACACCTGTAATTCCAGCACATTGGGAGGCTGAGGCGGGTTGATCACGTGGTCAGGAGTTCAAGACCAGCCTGGCCAACATAGTGAAACCCCATCTCTATTAAAATACAAAATTTAGCCAGGCACAGTGGCAGGTGCCTGTATAATCCTAGCTATTCAAGAGGCTGATGCAGGAGAAACACTTGAACCCAGGGGGCGGGAGTTGCAATAAGCTGAGATTGTGCTGCTGCACTCCATCCTGGGTGACAGAGTGAGACTTGTCTCAAACAAACAAAAAAAAAAGTTATGGGGTAGAAAGTAGAGTAGTTCTAAATGCACTTGCTGGCTGGGTGCGGTGGCTCACGCCTGTAATCCCAACACTTTGGGAGGCCGAGGCGGGCAGATCATGAGGTCACGACATCGAGACTATCCTGGCTAACATGGTGAAACCCCATCTCTATTTAGAATACAAAAAAAAAAAAAAAAAAAATCAGCCAGGCATGGTGGGACATGCTTGTAATCCCGGCTACTCGGGAGGCTGAGGCAGGAGAATCGCTTGAACCCGGGAGGCGGAGGTTGCAGTGAGCCGAGATCGTGCTGCTAAATTCCAGCCTGGGTGACAGAGTGAGATCCTCTCTCAAGAAGAGTTAAATAACCATAGTTCATGTGCATTTTATTGTATTGTTATTTTTAATTGTCTTTGCCCCCATTATTTTTGATCTAGGATTGGTTAAATCCACAGATATGTTAGGCCAACTGTACGATACCTGAAAGCGATAGAAATAGGTAGAAAATAATTTACAAGAAAAAAACAAACAACCCCATCAAAAAGTGGGCGAACGACATGAACAGACACTTCTCAAAAGAAGACATTTATGCAGCCAAAAAACACATGAAAAAATGCTCATCATCACTGGCCATCAGAGAAATGCAAATCAAAACCACTATGAGATATCATCTCACACCAGTTAGAATGGCGATCATTAAAAAGTCAGGAAACAACAGGTGCTGGAGAGGATGTGGAGAAATAGGAACACTTTCACACTGTTGGTGGGACTGTAAACTAGTTCAACCATTGTGGAAGTCGGTGTGGGGATTCCTCAGGGATCTAGAACTAGAAATACCATTTGACCCAGCCATCCCATTACTGGGTATATACCCAAATGACTATAAATCATGCTGCTATAAAGACACATGCACACGTATGTTTATTGCAGCATTATTCACAATAGCAAAGACTTGGAACCAACCCAAATGTCCAACAATGATAGACTGGATTAAGAAAATGTGGCACATATATACCATGGAATACAATGCAGCCATAAAAAATGATGAGTTCATGTCCTTTGTAGGGACATGGATGAAATTGGAAACCATCATTCTCAGTAAACTATCACAAGAACAAAAAACCAAACACCGCATATTCTCACTCATAGGTGGGAATTGAACAATGAGATCACATGGACACAGGAAGGGGAACATCACACTCTGGGGACTGTGGTGGGGTGGGGGGAGGGGGGAGGGATAGCATTGGGAGATATACCTAATGCTAGATGACGAGTTAGTGGGTGCAGCGCACCAGCATGGCACATGTATACATATGTAACTAACCTGCACAATGTGCACATGTACCCTAAAACTTAAAGTATAATAAAAAAAATAATAATAATAAAATAAAAAATAAAAAAATAAAAGGACAAAAAAAAAAAAAAAAAGAAGTAGGTAGAAAATAAGGACCAGGACAGACACCAGGGTTTATGAAGATCCAGCACCTGCATTCAGAACAAGCAGTCCCTCTCCAAGCCTCAATGCCATTTCTTTTTTTTTTTGAGACAGAATTTTGCTCTTGTTGCCCAGGCTGGGGTGCAATGGCGTGATCTCGGCTCATAGCAACCCCCGCCTCCTAGATTTAAGTGATTCTCCTGCCTCAGCCTCCCGGAGTAGCTGGGATTACAGGTGTCTGCCACCACGTCCAGCAAATTTTTGTATTTTTAGTAGAGATGCTGTTTCATCACCATGTTGGTCAGGCTGGTCTCAAACTCCTGACCCTCAGGTGGTCCAACCGCCTCAGCCTCCCAAAGGGCTGGGACGACAGGCGTGAGCCAGCGCGCCTGGCCTTCTGAATTTCTAAAGTCCTGGAGAGGACGCCTGCTTCCTCCTAGGACACAGTGTGGACCGATTTCCACTCACCTCTGACTTCATCCTTTGCTCTCTCAGACAGATCCATTCGGTGCATCTTTTCAAAGACCTGGAGGCTCGCCATCTCCACCCAGTAGCTGTCACAATGGGTGGTGAGGATTTCTACCAGTTGCTTCCCATCAGCCTTGTCTACCTCCTTGTGGGGGATCTTCTGGAGCTCGTGTGCCAGGGAGAAGGTCGTGATCAGATACTTGAACTTGCTCAACTCATCCTGGCTGAGCTGCTCCAGGAGAGCCTGCAGGTTGAAGCCCATCTGCGCCGAAGACACCATCTTGTCCCACGTGGGAGCTGTGATGACAATCAAGGGAGGAGTGGAGAGGGATGGTGATTAGCACTCCTGTCTCAAATGCCAGTTCCTGCTGTGCCACGAACAAGGACACTCACCATCTACCCTGCTTCTTCAAGAACAAACTCCCAGCCTGGGCAACATAGTGAGACCCCCATCTCCATGAAAAATAAGTTAGCAGTGGGTGGTGGTACATGCCTGTAGTCCCAGCTACTCAGGAGGCTGCAGTGGGAGGATTGCTTGAGCCTGGGAGACTGAAACTGCAGTGAGCCTTGATTGTGCCACTGCACTCCCATCTGGGCAACAGAGCAAGACCTCAACTCATTTTACTTTTATTTACTTATTTTTGAGATAGTTTCACTCTGCAGCCCAGGCTGGAGTACAGTAGTACGATCTCAGCTCACTGCAACCTCTGCCTCCCAGGTTCAAACAGTTCTCCTGCCTCAGCCTCCCGACTAGCTGGGATTATGGGCACCCACCACCACGCTCAGCTACTTTTTGTATTTTTTTTTTTTTTTTTTTTGAGACGGAGTCTCACTTTGTCACCCTGGCTGGAGTGCAGTGCTGCAATCTCGGCTCACTACAACCTCTGCCTCCCGGATTCAAGCAATTCTCCTGCCTCAGCCTCCCAAGTAGCTGGGATTACAGGCATTCACCACTGTGCCCAGCTAATTTTTTTGTATTTTTAGTAGAGATGGGGGGTTTCACCAAGTTGGCCAGGCTGGTCTCGAACTCCTGACCTCGTGATTCACCTGCCTCAGTGCCCAGCTAGTTTTTCTAATTGCAAAATAACCAGCTACTGTCAGGGTTTTCCCTGAGGGGCTGCTCAGGTTCTAAAAGTTAACCTATAAAGCGAAAACACTCTCTCATTATAGCAAAGTAGTAACACAACAATGAAAGGACAAGCATAGATCAGATAAGGAAGTGGGGAGCTACGTGGATCACCCAGGAGACAAGAAACTTCGTGAAAACTGGGCTGAATATGATAATGCAAACACACAGCCGGGCGCGGTGGCTCACGCCTGCAATCCCAGCACTTTGGGAGGCCGAGGCGGGCGGATCGTGAGGTCAGGAGATCGAGACCATCCTGGCTAACACAGTGAAACCCCGTCTCTACTAAAAATACAAAAAATTAGCCGGGCGTGGTGGCAGGTGCCTGTAGTTCCAGCTACTTGGGAGGCTGAGGCAGGAGAATCGCTTGAACCTGGGAGTGGGAGGCAGAGGTTGTGGTGAGCTGACATGGCGCCACTGCACTCCAGCCTGGGGCGACAAGAGTGAAACTGTCTCAAAAAAAAAAAAGGCTTAAAGATAACTTAGTGGTGGAGCCTGGTCTCAGGACACAGGTGTGTGGCTTTTACTTTACTGAAGCTGGCCGGGGGGCCATGGCTCACACCTGGAACCCCAAACACTTTGGGAAGCCAAGGTGGGAGGATTGCTTGGAGTTTGAGACCAGCCTGGGCAACATGGCAAAACCCTGTCTCTACAAAAAAATACAAAAAAAAAAAAAATTGTGCTGGGCATAGTGGCATGCACCTGTAGTCCCAGCTACTGAGGAGGCTGAGGTGGGAGGATCACCTGAGCCAGGGAAGTTAAGGCTGCAGTGAGCTGTGATCGCACCACTGCACTCCAGCCTGGTAAAACAAACAAAAACACAACACTGGGGGTGGTGGCTGACGCTTGCAATCCCCGCACTTTGGGAAGCTCAGGTGGGTGATCACTCCAGTCCAGAAGTTCCAGACCAGCCTGGCAACTTAAGACCCTGTCTCTATTTTAAAAACAACAGGGCCGGGTGCGGTGGCTCACGCCTGTAATCACAGCACTTTGGGAGTCCAAGGTGGGAGGATCACCTGAGGTCTGGAGCTTGAGACCAGCCTGGCCAACATAGTGAAACCCTATATCGACTAAAAATACGAAAATTAGCCAGGTTGGTGACAGGCGGCTGTAGTCCCAGCTACTTAGAAGGCTGAGGCACGAGAATTGCTTGAACCTGGGAGGTGGAAGTTGCAGTGAGCTGAGATAGCGCCACTGTACTCCAGCCTGGGAAACAGAGCTAGACTTTGTCTCAAAAAAAAAAAAAAAAAAATAGCAGTAGCAACAAAAACTTTACAGAAAGGGTATAACACCTCTTTATATGATAGCTGTGAATAGCGTGAGAATGGCAACTGGCATAGGTATTTGCATAAGACTCAGGTCCGGAAGCTGGACTAGAATGATGCTAAGAGGCTCCCTCACCTCAGTGAATAAAAAACAATACCTTCTTGTTAAGAGGACTCATTAGACACAAAACCTTAGCACTGCCCAGGACTCCACACACAGCAACCACAGCATCTGACCTGTTCCAATATATTTTTTTTTTTGGAGCTCTCTATAGCTCTATCCTAAATCCCCCAAGAGAACAGAAATAAAAGCACACACAACTATCCTCTTATGAGCCAACCTTAACTAGAGTCTCTCTAGATCTAAGCATCTGCTACTCTTTCCCCAGTCAGAACCACTGAATTTTATTTTATTTTATTTTTTGAGACAGTTTCTCTCTTGCTGCGCAGGCTGGAGAGCAATGGTATGATCTAGGCTCCCCGCAACCTCCGCTTCCCGGGTTCAAGTGATTCTCCTGCCTCAGCCTCCTGAGTAGCTAGGATTACAAGTATGCGCTACCACGCCCACCTAATTTTATATTTTTAGTAGAGATGGGGTTTCTACATGTTGGTCAGGCTGGTCTCGAACTCCCGACCTCAGGTGATCCTCCCGCCTCGGCCTCCCAAAGCGCTGCGATTACAGGCGTGAGCCACTGAGACAGGCAGAACCACTTAATTTCTAACAGAAGAAAAGATTTAGGCCGGGCGCGGTGGCACCTGCCTATAATCCCAGAATTTTGGGAGTCTGAGGCAGGAAGATCGCTTGAGCCCAGGAGTTAGAGACCAGCTTCGGCAACATATTAAGACCCTACATCTAGTGAGTCTCTGCAAACAGTGGTAATAATAATATTATTAGCCAGAACAGATGTGGTGGCACCCTCCCACGGTCCCAGCTACTTCAAAGGCTGAGGCGTGAGGACTGCTTGAACCTGAGAGGTCAAGGGTTCAGTGAGCCGAGATCCTGCCACAGCGCTCCAGCCTGGGAAACAGAGTAAGACCCTCAAAAAAGAGAAGAAAAAAAAAAAAAAAAAAAAAAAAAAGGCTGGGCGCGGTGGCTCACGCCTGTAATCCCGGCACCTTGGGAGGCCGAGGCGGACTGAGACCAGCCTGGCCAACATGGTGAAACCCCGTCTCTACTAAAAATACAAAAAAATTAGCTGGGCATAGTGGCAGGTGCCTGTAGTCTCAGCTACTCGGGAGGCTGAGGCAGGAGAATGGCCTGAACCCGGGAGGCGGAGCTTGCAGTGAGCCGAGATCGCGCCACCGCACTCCAGCCTGGGCGACAGAGCGAGACTCCGTCTCAGAAAAAAAATATATGAAATAAAAGGAGAAATTTTACCAACTGTGGAATGGAGAAATAAAGAAATGAAGTTGCAGAGCTGCCGGAGAGCTACTCACCTCCCAACACCTGGCCCTACTCGCCGGCGGAGATGAGGGCTGCAGGTTGAGAAAGCTCTAATAAGGCTTCTCTCTCGGCCGCAGCCCTGTGATTGGCCCTCGGGGCGTAATCGTTGCTGAGCACTTCCTGTATCCACCGGAATTACTGAGAGGTCTTTTGGGGGCGGGGGGTGTTGGGGGGCGGTCCTTCACCTGAGCTTCCGGATCTCCACCTGTGGTCCTCCATCTTGACTGCCTGTTAAACTTACCTATGTGGAGCCTCATTTCAAAGCACGAACGCCTAGAGATTCTGCTTGATTGGTTACACTGGGACTGCCCAGACCCTGGAGTTCTTTCGAGAGTCCCAGATAACTGTGATTGCGGCCGAGGCTGAGAATCACCGCTTAGAAGCCTCAGCTGTGATTGGCTACCTTCTCCCATCACCCCAGGTATATTATTAATAAAAATCCAACCGTATTTCAAGTGAAATATCAATGACACGTCAACTATGAGACGCATGAAAAGCACCAAGTTCATCAGTTTCACATTCACAGTATTATTATTATTTTATTTTTAATGGAGTCTTGCTCTGTTCCCCAGGCTGGAGTGCAACGGCACGATCTCGGCTCCCCGCAGCCTCCGCCTGCCGGCTTCAAGTGATTCCCCTGCCTCAGCCTCCCGAGTAGCTGAGATTACAAGCATGCGCCACAACGCCTGGTTAATTTTTGTATTTTTTTCAATAGAGACGGGGTTTTGCCATGCTGGCCAGGCTGGTCTCAAACTCCCGACCTCAGGTGATCTGCCAGCCTCAGCCTCCTAAAGTGCTGGGATTACAGGCGTGAGCCACCTACTAAAAATACAAAAAATTAGCCGGGCGTGGTGGCGGGCGCCTGTAGTCCCAGCTACTCGGGAGGCTGAGGCAGGAGAATGGCGTGAACCCGGGAGGCGGAGCTTGCAGTGAGCAGAGATCGCGCCACTGCACTCCAGCCTGGGCGACAGAGCGAGACTCCGTCTCAGAAAAAAAATATATGAAATAAAAGGAGAAATTTTACCAACTGTGGAATGGAGAAATAAAGAAATGAAGTTGCAGAGCTGCCGGAGAGCTACTCACCTCCCAACACCTGGCCCTACTCGCCGGCGGAGATGAGGGCTGCAGGTTGAGAAAGCTCTATTAAGGCTTCTTTCTCGGCCGCAGCCCTGTGATTGGCCCTCGGGGCGTAATCGTTGCTGAGCACTTCCTGTATCCACCGGAATTACTGAGAGGTCTTTTGGGGGCGGGGGGTGTTGGGGGGCGGTCCTTCACCTGAGCTTCCCGATCTCCACCTGTGGTCCTCCATCTTGACTGCCTGTTAAACTTACCTATGTGGAGCCTCATTTCAAAGCACGAACGCCTAGAGATTCTGCTTGATTGGTTACACTGGGACTGCCCAGACCCTGGAGTTCTTTCGAGAGTCCCAGATAATTGTGATTGCGGCCGAGGCTGAGAATCACCGCTTAGAAGCCTCAGCTGTGATTGGCTACCTTCTCCCATCACCCCAGGTATATTATTAATAAAAATCCAACCGTATTTCAAGTGAAATATCAATGACACGTCAACTATGAGACGCATGAAAAGCACCAAGTTCATCAGTTTCACATTCACAGTATTATTATTATTTTATTTTTAATGGAGTCTTGCTCTGTTCCCCAGGCTGGAGTGCAACGGCACGATCTCGGCTCCCCGCAGCCTCCGCCTGCCGGCTTCAAGTGATTCCCCTGCCTCAGCCTCCCGAGTAGCTGAGATTACAAGCATGCGCCACAACGCCTGGTTAATTTTTGTATTTTTTTCAATAGAGACGGGGTTTTGCCATGCTGGCCAGGCTGGTCTCAAACTCCTGACCTCAGGTGATCTGCCAGCCTCAGCCTCCTAAAGTGCTGGGATTACAGGCGTGAGCCACCGTGCCTGGCTGGCAGTATTAATTTTGTAAACATATAGCCGGGCACAGTGGCTCACGCCTGTAATCCCAGCACTTTGGGAGGCCGAGGCAGGTGGATCACGAGGTCAGGAGATCGAGACCATCCTGGCTAACACGGTGAAACCCCGTCTCTACTAAAAATACAAAAAATTAGCCGGGCGTGGTGGCGGGCACCTGTAGTCCCAGCTACTCGGGAGGCTGAGGCAGGAGAATGGCGTGAACCCGGGAGGCGGAGCTTGCAGTGAGCCGAGATCGCGCCACTGCACTCCAGCCTGGGCGACAGAGCAAGGCTCCATCTCAAAAAAAAAAAAAAAAAAAAAAACACCATATAAATAAGACTAAAAAGTTGGGTTTTGGCCGGGCGCGGTGGCTCACGCCTGTAATTCCAGCACTTTGGGAGGCCAAGGCGGGTGGATCACGAGGTCAGGACTTCAAGACCAGCCTGGCCAAGATGATGAAACCCCGTCTCAACTAAAAATACAAAAAATTAGTCGGGCGTGGTGGCGGGTGCCTGTAATCCCAGCTACTTGGGAGGCTGAAGCAGAGAATTGCTTGAACCCAGGAGGCGGAGGTTGCAGTGAGCCGAGACCGCACCACTGCACTCCACCCTGGGCGACAGAGTGAGACTCCGTCTCAAAAAAAAAAAGAAAAAAGTTGGGTTTTATAGCTTTTTTTCATGTTTCTTTGTTTGTTTTGCTTTTTTTTTTTCTGAGACTGAGTCTGGCACTGTCGCCCGGGCTGGAGTGCAGTGGCGCAATCTTGGCTCACTGCAACCTCCGCCTCCAGAGTTCAAGCGATTCTCCTGCCTCAGCCTCCTGAATAGCTGGGATTACAGGCGCGTGCCACTGTACCCGGCTAATTTTCTTATTTTTAGTAGAGATGGGGTTTCACCATGTTGGACAGGGTGGTCTTGAACTCCCAACCTCAGGTAATCTGCTCACCTCGGCCTCCCAAAGTGCTAGGATTACAGGCATGAGCCACTGCGCCTAGCCTTTTTTTTGTATTTTTAGTAGAGATGGGGTTTCACTATGTTGGCCAGGCTGGTCTCAAACTCTTGACCTCGTGATCCGCCCGCCTCGGCCTCCCAAAGTGCTTGGGTTGCAGGCACGAACCACCGCGCCCAGCCTTTTTCATGTTTTAGAACCAACATATGTATATGTACATCTATATTTCTTTTCGTTTTTTCTTTTTGAGACAGGGTCTCACTCTGTCGCCTAGGCTGGTGTGCAGTGGCACAATCATAGCTTACTGAAGGCTACAGGCATACGCCATCACGCCTGACTAGATTTTTGTATTTTTTATAGAGATGGAGGTCTCACTATGTTGCCCAGGCTGGTCTCAACCCCATGGGCTTAAGCAATCTTCCCACCACGGCCTCCCAAAGTGCTGGGATTTCCGGTGTGAGCCACCATGCTTGACCCTGTGTTTACTTATTAAGTCCTCTAAACATTGCTACACAGTAGTGATTGCCATGATCCTACCCATTTTTCACTTTCCTTGAGAAAATGAAGGCAAGGCATATTTAGAAAACCTGTCTGAGGTCTTGAAGATCACAAACAGCTGTCAGCTTCCGGAAGCCCAGCTCTTCACTGCCGCGCTCAGTTGCCTATCCTAGAAAGAATAAGAAAGTGAGGGGGCCCAGTGTGGTGCCTCACGCCTGTAATCCCAGCACTTTGGGAGGCCGAGGCGGGCGGATCACGAGGTCAGGAGATGGAGACCATCCTGGCTAACACGGTGAAACCCCGTCTCTACTAAAAATACAAAAAATTAGCCGGGCGTGGTGGCGGGCGCCTGTAGTCCCAGCTACTCGGGAGGCTGAGGCAGGAGAATGGCGTGAACCCGGGAGGCGGAGCTTGCAGTGAGCTGAGATCGCGCCACTGCACTCCAGCCTGGGTGACAGAGCAAGACTCTGTCTCAAAAACAAACAAACAAAAAAGAAAGAAAGAAAGAAAAGAAAATGAGGGGCCGGGCGTGGTGATTCATGCCTGTAATCCCAGCACTTTGGGAGGCCGAGGCGGGTGGATCACCTGAGGTCAGGAGTTCGAGATCAGCCTGACCAACATGGTGAAATCCCATCTCTACTAAAAATACACAAAAAATTAGCCAGGCGTAGTGGCAGATGCCTGTAATTCCAGCTATTCTGGAGGCTGAGGCAGGAAAATGGCTGGAACCTGGGAGGCAGAGGTTGCAGTGAGCTGAGATCGTGCCATTGCACTCCAGCCTGGGCAACAAGAGCGAAACTCTGTCTCAAAAAAAAAAAAAAAATTGAGGGATGGAGGGAATAGGAAGGATGAATGAAAATGTGCAGGAGCAGTTTTCAGACTGCACATTTCAATAAATTCTTTTTCATTTTTTCTTTTTTTTTTTTTTGAGATGGAGTTTTGCTCTTGTCGCCCAGGCTGGAGTGCAATGGCGCGATCTCAGCTCACTGCAACCTCTGCCTGCCGGTTTCCTGTGATTCTCCTGCCTCAGACTCCTGTGTAGCTGGGATTACAGGCATGTACCACCACGCCCGGCTAATTTTGTAGTTCTAGTAGAGATGGGGTTTCACCATACCCTTTTGGCCAGGCTGTTCTTGAACTCCTGACCTCAGGTGATCCACCCGCCTCAGCCTCCCAAAGTTCTGGGATTACAGGCATCCACTTCCCCCGACCTTTTTCTACCTTCTTAATATGGACACCCTACCATAATTTGGAGGTACTTTTTTTTTTGTTTCCTTTTTGAGACAGACTCTCGCTCTGTTGCCCAGGCTGGAGTGCAGTGGTGTGGTCTCGGCTCACTGCAACCTCTGCCTCCGGGGCTCAAGCAATTCTCTTGCCTCAGCCTCCTACAGGCACCTGCCACCATGCCAGGCTAATTTTTAGTACAGATAGGTTTTCACCATGCTGGCCAGGCTCTTCTTGAACTCCTGATCTGAGATCCACCTGCCTCGGCTTCCCAAAGTGCTGGGATTACAGGTGTGAACCACCACGCCCAGCCACAGTACCTTTTTTAAAAAATTTGTATTTTCTTTTATTTATTTATTTATTTATTTAGAGATGAAGTCTCTCTGTTGTTGCCCAGGCTGGAGTGCAGTGGCATGATCTTGGCTCACTGCAACCTCTGCCTCCCGGGTTCAAGTGATTCTCCTGCCCTAGCTGGGATTATAGGCTCCCGCCACCATACCAAGCTAATTTTGTATTTTTAGTAGACACGGGGTTTCACCACCTTGGCCGGGCTGGTCTTGGACTCCTGACCTCGGGTGATCCACCTGCTTTGGCCTCCCAAAGTGCTGGAATTACAGGCGTGAGACACTGTGCCTGGCCCACTCCCCCTCTTTTTTAACTAGAGACTGGGTCTCACTTTGTACACCGGGCCGGTCTTGAACTCCTGGGCTCCATGGCCCTCCCGCCTTGGCCTCCCAAAGTACTGAGATTACAGGTGTGAGCCACTATGCCTGGCCCATTATTTTATATTTTAATATAAATATTTACATTTATAAATTTCCATCAGTGCAACAAACACATTTCAACAGCAATTTCACCACCACTCAGTTCTAGCATTTTTAAAAATGCCCTTTGTTATTTCTTCTTTGACCTTGGAATTATATAGAATATTTTTTTAAGACTCAAATGCATGGGATTAAGAAATTATCTTTTGTGCTGGGCATGGTGGCTCACGCCTGTAATCCCAGCACTTTGGGAGGCCGAGGCAAGCGGATCACGAGGTCAGGAGATCGAGACCATCCTGGCTAACACGGTGAAACCCCGTCTCTACTAAAAATTAAAAAAATTAGCTGGGCACGGTGGCGGGTGCCTGTAGTCCCAGCTACTTGGGAGGCTGAGGCAGGAGAATGGCGTGAATCCGGGAGGCGGAGCTTGCAGTGAGCCACCATCACACCACTGCACTCCAGCCTAGGTGACAGAGCAAGACTCCATCTCAAAAAATAAAAATAAAAATAAAAATAAAACTATCTTTTGTTACAATTCTTCTAACTTTTGTTCTATTGAGGAAATTGAGACTGAAATGTTAAGTAGCAACCCCAAGGTCACATAACTCATGGGTGGCTGGGGAGAAGGATGGATTTAAACAGACTTCTGGTTGAGCGCGGTGGCTTAAGGCTGTAATCCCAGCACTTTGGGAGGCTGAGATGGGTGGATCACTTGAGGTCAGGAGCTCGAGACTAGCCTGGCCAACATGGTGAAATCCCGTCTCTACTAAAAATACAAAAGTTAGCTGGGTGTGGCGGCAGGCACCTGTAATCCCAGCTACCCAGGAGGCTGAGGGAGGAGAATTGCTTGAACCCGGGAAGCAGAGGTTGCAGTGAGCTGAGATCTCGCCACTGCACTCCAGCCTGGGTGATAGAGGGAGACAACATCTCAAAAAACAAAACGAAAGAAACAAACAAACAAAAAAAACAAGAAACACCAGACTTCTGTTGGAATAAGTGAGTTTGGTTCGGGTAGATGGAACCTGCAAAGGGGTTTGGAGATCCAAAAGAGGAACTACGTGGTTAGAACAGAGTATCGGATGAACTGATAAGAAACCACAATTCAAAAACAATTCAACAAAATGCCCAGGTCTGTGAAAGCCTGTCTACACCAGGCCTTGGGTCTCTGTGTACATTGCCTGCTTCTGACAAGGCTCTGCAGCCGGGAGTCGGCTCCCAGGGTTGCATGGCTGGGAACAACAGAAGCTCAGGAGCGGACCTAAAACGGAGCAGTTGGGTAAAATGAAGCTGTCTCCATTTACTTTCTACAGACAGACATCCATGAGAGGATGAGGAGGTGTGCTTGCCTCCTGGTCAAGCACTAATTTTTTTTTCCAAGCACTAATTTTAATTTTTTTATTTTTTGTAGAAACAGGGTCTCAGAGTATTTGCTTTGGCAGCACATACACTAAAATTGGAAATGGGGGTCTTGCTATGTTGCCCAGGCTGGACTTGAGCTCCTGGGCTCAAGGGATCCTCCCACCTCAACCTCCTAAAGTGCTATCCACTCTGACCTTGTGATCCACCTGCCTCAGCCTCCCAAAGTGCTGGTGAGGGAAGAGAGAAACCGTCTCATATTGTTTTATATTGTTTTATACTCAGTACTTGTTTTAGAAAAAAAACAAGGAGGCCGGGCACGGTGGCTCACGCCTGTAATCCCAGCACTTTGGGAGGCCAAGGCGGGTGGATCACAAGGTCAGGAGTTTGAGACCAGCCTGGCCAACATGGTGAAACCCCGTCTCTATTAAAAATACAAAAATTAGCCGGGCATGGTGGCGTGCGCCTGTAATCCCAGCTACTCGGAAGGATGAGGCAGCAGAATTGCTTGAATCCAGGAGGCGGAGCTTGCAGTGAGCCGAGATTGTGCCACTGCACTCCAGCCTTAGCGACAGAGCAAGACTCTGTCTCAAAAAAAAAAAAAAAGAAAAAGAAAAAAACAAGGAAGTGAAACCAAAGGCAGGTAGCCCGGCGCCAGGCACCAGACCCAAAACCAGACCCGAAACCAGGCCTGGGCCTGCCTGGCGTAAACCTAGTAGATAAAAATCAACTCATGACTTAGAACCCGATGTTATCCATAGATTCCAGGCATTGTATAGAAGAACACTGTGAAACTCCCTGCCCTATTCTTTCTCTCTGACCAGCAGTGCACGAAACCCCTGTTATGTATCCCCTAGATTGCTCAATCATGACCCTTTCATGCGCAGTCTTTAGTGTTGTGAGCCCTTAAAAGGGACAGAAACTGTGCACTCGAGGAGCTTGGATTTTAAGACAGTAGCTTGCCGATGCTCCCAGCTGAATAAAGCCCTTCCTTCTACAACTCGGTGTCTGAGAGGTTTTTGTCTGTGGCTCGTCCTGCTACACTGGGATTACAGGCGTGAGCCACTGTGCCTGGCCACTAGTTATTATTATTATTATTATTTGAGACAGAGTCTCACTCTGTCCCTTGGGCTGGAGTGCAGTGGCCTGATCTTGACTCACTGCAACCTTTGCCTCCCGGGTTCAAGCGATTCTCCTGCCTCAGCCTCCAGAGTAGCTGGGATTACAGGCATGCACCACTATGCCCAGCTAGCTAACTTTTTGTATTTTTAGTAGAGACAGGGTTTCACCATGTTGGCCAGGCTGGTCTTGAACTCCTGACCTTGTGATTCGCCCACCTCGGCGTCCCAAAGTGCTGGGATTAGAGGCGTGAGCCACTGCACCCGGCAATACTAGTTATTGTTAATGCTATTATTGTTACTGACATGTTCATTTTTACCTAGCCACTTTATTTTCCCACCTCTTTCTCCCTACTTCTCCTAAGTGTCAATGTTAGATAAGTCTGAAATTCTCTTTCCCTGTCCCTCTCTGTCTCTCTCTCCTTCTTTGTCTTTCTTTCACCTGAGACCCATAATCCTGGAGATAGCAAGTGCCTCAGGGAGAAAATCCCAAACCAAGCGATTCTCCTGCCCTAGCCTTCCAAGTAGCTGGGATTACAGGCTCCTGCCACCATACCAAGCTAATTTTGTATTTTTAGTAAAGACACGGTCTCACCACCTTGGCCAGGCTAGTCTCGGACTCCTGACCTCAGGTGATCCACCCACCTGGGCCTCCCAAAGTGCTGGAATTACAGGCGTGAGACACCGTGCCCGGCCCCCTCCCCATCTTTTTTAAATAGAGACTGGGTCTCACTTTGTACACCGGGCCAGTCTTGAACTCTTGGGCTCCATGGCCCTCCAGTGTGGAGGAGAGAAAATGGATTCCCTCCACCCTCCTAGGTTCTTTGGATGGGCTATGAATTACATTGACACAAAACAGTTTGACAGAAGAAAAACCAGATTCAATTATGTATGCACAGGAGTCCCACAAAAATGTGAGACTGGAGGAAGGGCCAGATGATTGAAGCTCATCTAGCTGCCTGAGCTACAGAAAGGAGTATAAGAGTGTAGGGTGCAGTGGCTCACGCCTGTGATCCCAGCAGTTTGGGAGGCCAAGGTGGGTGGATCACCTGAGGTCAGGAGTTTGAGACCAGCCTGGCCAACATGGTGAAACCCCATCTCTGCTAAAAATACAAAAATTAGCTGGTGTGGTGGTGTGTGCCTGTAATCCCAGCTACTCCGGAGGCTGAGGCAGGAGAATCACTTGAACCCGGGAGGAGGAAACTGCAGTGAGCTAAGATCGCACCATTGTACTCCAGCCTGGGCTTCAAAGGGAGACTCCATCTCAAAAAAAAAAAAAAAAAGAAGAAGAAGAAGAAAGGAGTAGGGGTGTCCGTCCCAGTGGCTCACGGTCTGTAATCTCAACACTTTGGGAACCGAAATGGGTGGATCACCTGACGTCGGGAGTTTGAGACTAGCCTGGACAACAGGGTGAAACCCAGTCTCCACTAAAAATACAAAAATTAGCCAGGTGTGGTGGTGTGCCCTGTAATCCCAGCTACTTGGGAGGCTGAGACAGGAGGATTACTTGAACCCGGGAGGTGGAGGTTGCAGTGGGCCAAGATCACGCCACTGCACTGCAGCCTGGGAGATAGAGGGAGACCCTGTCTCAAAATAAAATAAATAAATAAATAAATAAATACATACATACATAAATGAAAAGGCGTAGAGACTTGGAGCTTCTGGGGGTGGTGGAGGCAAATTAAGGTATGATAAAAGGGGGAAAAGTTGCTGGGTTCACGCCTGTAATTCCAGCACTTTGGGAGGCCAAGGCAGGTGGATCACCAGAGGACAGGAGTTCGAGACAAGCCTGGCCAACATGGTGAAACCCCGTTTCTACTAAAAATGCAAAAAATTAGAAGGCGTGGTGTTGGGTGTCAGTGATCCACCTGCCTCGGCCTCCCAAAGTGCTGATATTATAGGCGTGAGCCACTGCGCCCGGCCTTTTTTTTTTTTTGAGGGAGAGTCTTGCTCTGTCTCCCAGGCTGGAGTGCAAAGGCACAATCTCAGCTCACTGCAACCTCCGCCTCCCGGGTTCAAGTGATTCTCCTGCCTCAGCCTCCCGAGTAGCTGGTATTACAGGCACCTGCCACCGCGCCCAGCTAATTTTTGTATTTTTTTTTAGTAGAGATGGGGTTTTGCCATGTTCACCAGGGTGGTCTCAAAGTCCTGACCTCAAGTGATCCGCCTGCCTTGGCCTCCCAAAATCCTGGAATGACAGGCATGAACCACCATACCCAGTCCTGTTTTTCCTACTTTCACACTCAACACAGAATACTTCACCAAAAATGTATGTTTCTCCCCACCAACAACCAGTTCTCCAGCAGAGACCAGCTGGGTGTCCTCTCCTTTGATTTAGTTCTGACACTCCCTACCTGGGGACAGCATCAGATCCCAAAGGTTCAGGGCTGAGTCCCACAAGACTGACTGACTTCCTTCCTTCCTTCCTTGTCCCACAAGACTGACTTCCTTTCCCTCCTTCCCTTCCCTCCTTCCCTCCTTCCCTCCTTCCTTCCTTTCTCTCCCTCTGTTGCCCAGGCTGGAGTGCAGTTGCGAGATCATGGCTCACTGTAGCCATGACCTCCCAGTCTCAAGTGATCCTCCTGCCTTGGCCTCCTGAGTAGCTGGGACTACAGGCATGCACGATCACAGTTGGCTATTTATTTATTTATTTATTTATTTTTGAGACACAGTCTTGCTCTGTCATCCAGGCTGGAGTGCAGTCCTGTCATCTAGGCTGGAGTGCATTTTTGCAATACAAAAATTAGCCAGGCATGGGAGCGAATGTCTATAATCCCAGCTACTTGGGAGGCTGAGGCTCGACAATCCCTTGAACCCAGGAGGTTGAGGATCACAGCTCACTGCAACCTCAGTCTTGCTGTGTCGCCCAGGCTGAAGTGCAGTGGCACGATCTTGGCTCACTGCAACCTACGACTCCGGGATTCACGTCATTCTCCTGCCTCAGCCTCCCGAGTAGCTGGGACCACAGGCGCCCACGACCTCCTGGCTAACTTTTGTATTTTTTGTAGAGATGGGGTTTCGCCATGTTAGTCAGGCTGGTCTGACCTCAAATGATTCACCCACCTCAGCTTCCCAACATGCTGGGCTTACAGCCACTGTGCTCAGTCGAAATTCTGTATATTTGATCAAGAAGAGGTTTCATCATGTTGTCCAGGCTGGTCTGGAACTCTTGAACTCAAGCAATCCACCTACCTGGGCTGCCCAAAGTTCGGGGATTCCAGGCATGTGCCACCATGCCTGGCCCAAGGCTGCTCTTCCTAAAGAAGAAAATTATTCCAATGATTTTATTTATTTATTTTTGAGACGGAGTTTCACTCTTGTTGCCCAGGCTGGAGTGCAATGGCATGATCTTGGCTCACTGCAACCTCTGCCACCCGGGTTCAAGTGATTCTCCTGCCTCAGCCTCCTGAGTAGCTGGGATTACAGGCACGCACCACCACACCCAGCTAATTTTTTTGTATTTTAGTAGAGACGGGGTTTCTCCATGTTGGTCAGGCTGGTCTCAAACTTCGGACCTCAGGTGATCCGCCAGCCTTGGCCTCCCAAAGTGCTGGGATTGCAGGCGTGAGCCACCGCGCCCGGCCACCAATGATATTTTTTAAAAGCAAGTAAGGACGAGCTGGGCATGGTGGGTTCTTGAATCTCATACCAGAAAGAATTCAGGGCGAGACTATGGAGTAAAGTGGAAGCAAGCTTATTAGGAAAGTGAAGGAGTAAAAGAATAGCTACTCCATAGACAGCAGCCCATAGGGCTGCTAGTTGCCCTTATTTTTTTTGAGATGGAGTTTTGCTCTTGTCGCCCAGGCTGGAGTGCAGTGGCGTGATCTTGGCTCACTGAAACCTCTGCCTTGAATCACTTCAGTTCAAGTGATTCTCCTGCCTCAGCCTCCTGAGTAGCTGGGATTACAGGTGCCTGCCATCACGTCTGGCTAATTTTTGTATTTTTAGTAAGAGATGGGGTTTCACCATGTTGGCCAGGCTGATCTTGACCTCCTGAGCTCAGGTGATATGCCCGCCTCGGCCTCCCAAAGTGTTGGGATTACAGGCGTAAGCCACCACGTCCGGCCTCGGTTGCCCTTTTTTTTTTTTTTTTTTTTTTTTGAGACGGAGTCTCGCTCTTTCACCAGGCCAGAGTGCAGTGGCACTATCTCGGCTCACTGCAAGCTCCGCCTCCTGGGTTCAGGCCATTCTCCTGCCTCAGCCTCCCGAGTAGCTGGGACTACAGGCGCCCGCCACCGCACCCAGCTAATTAGTTGTATTTTTTTTTAGTAGAGATGGGATTTCACCGTGTTAGCCAGGATGGTCTCAATCTCCTGACCTCATGATCCACCCGCCTCGGCCTCCCAAAGTGCTGGGATTACAGGCGTGACCACCGCGCCCGGCCGGTTGCCCATTTTTATGGTTATTTCTATGGATATGCTAAACAAGGGGTGGATTATTCATGCCTCCCCTTTTTAGACAGCATAGGGTAACTTCCTGACATTGCCATGGCATTTGTAAACTGTCATGGGGCTGCTGGGAGTGGAGCGGTGAGGACAACCAGAGGTTACTCTCGTCACTATCTTGGTTTTGATGGAGTTTGACTGGATGCTTTATTTATTTTTATTTATTTTTTATTTTTTTGAGACGGAGTCTCGCTCTGTCACCCAGGCTGGAGTGCAGTGGCGCGATCTCCGCTCACTGCAAGCTCCATCACCCGGGTTCACGCCGTTCTCCTGCCTCAGCCTCCCGAGTAGCTGGGACTACAGGCGCCCGCCACCACGCCCAGCTAATTTTTTGTATTTTTTTTTTTTAGTAGAGATGGTTTCACCGTGTTAGCCAGGATGGTCTCAATCTCCTGACCGTGTGATCCACCCGCCTCAGCCCCCGAAAGTGCTGGGATTACAGGTGTGAGCCACCGCGCCCGGCCTGGCTGGATTCTTTATTGCTAAGGGAGGAGACCACCCCTCATATTGTCTTATGCCCAATTTCCACCTCCAAAGAAAGAAAAAGTAAAAACTAAAAGGCAGAAATGAAATCCACAAGCAGACAGCCCCGCGCCCCAGGAATGAAATCCACAAGCAGACAGCCCCGCGGCCCAGGAATGAAATCCACAAGCAGACAGCCCGGCGCCACACCCTGGGCCTGGTAGTTAAAGATTGACCCCTGACCTAATCGGTTATCTATAGATTACAGACATTGTATAGAAAAGCACTGTGAAAATCCCTATCCTGTTTTGTTTGGATCTGATTACCAGTGCATGCAGCCCCCAGTCACGTACCCCCTGCTTGCTCAGTCGATCACGACCCTCTCACGCACACCCCCTTAGAGTTGTGAGCCCTTAAAAGGGACAGGAATTGCTCACTTGGGGATCTCGGCTCTTGAGACGGGAGTCTTGCCGATGCCCCTGGCCGGATAAACCCCTTTCTTCTTTAACTCGGTGTCTGAGGAGTTTTGTCTGTGGCTGGTCCTGCTACATTGCTACCTGTGTTATCAGCAAGGTCCTTATGACCTGTATCTTGTGCTGACTTATCTCATCCTGTGACTTAGAATGCTTTTTTTTTTCTTTTTACTGCAACCTCCGCCTCCCCGGCTCAAGCGATTCTCCTGCCTCAGCCTCGCAAGTAGGTGGGATTACAGGCACGAGCCACCACGCCTGACTAATTTTTGTATTTTCAGTAGAGACGGGGTTTCACCGTGTTGGCCAGGCTGGTCTCAAACTCTACTTCGGGTAATCCACCCGCCTCGGCCTCCCAAAGTGCTGGGCCACCGTGCCTGTCATTTTTGTTTTTTTTGGAGAATGCCTTAACTGTCTGGGAATGCAGCCCGGTAGGTCTCAGCCTTATTTTAGTCAGCTCCTATTCAAGATGGAGTTGCCCTGGTTACACGCCTCTGACAGTAGGTCCGTTGCCCAATGCACGCTGTGAGTCAATTTGCCGGGTCACTGTGTTGCAGAAGAGAAGGAAGTTTAATCACAGGGCTGAGGAATGAGGAGATGGGAGGAAACCTCCAATCCATCTCCCCCAGAAGTTTGGGTCTAGGGTTTTTTTTTTTTTTGAGATGGAGTTTTGCTTTGTCACCCAGGCTGGAGTGCAGTGGCAGGATCTTTGCTCACTGCAACCTCCGCCTCCCAGGTTCAAGTAATTCTCTTGCCTCAGCCTCCTGAGTAGCTGGGGTTACAGGCACCCGCTACCACGCCCGACTAATTTTTTGTGTTTTTAGTAGAAACGGGGTTTCACTATGTTGGCCAGGCTGGTCTTGAACTCTTGACCTCAGGTGATTCACCTGCCTTGGCCTCCCAAAGTGCTGGAGTTACAGGTGTGAGCCTCTGCACCCGGCCGGGGCTAGGGTTTTTAAGTGTTTTGGTGTGGGCCAGAGTGTGGCCATGCTGACTGCTGGCGGAGACAGGGGCATGAAGACGCAGTGTTCTCATGCTGATCCCATTCCTCACTGGGGTCTTCAAACTGGTTAGTGTCAGCTATTTGGCTGGAATTCAAGGTCTGAAAAACATCTGAAACCATCCTTAAACAAAAGCCTTATAATTCTAATGTCCCAGAGTTTATCTGTAGGAACCGTGCAGATACAAATTTGTCTAATGGGGCCGGGCGCGGTGGCTCACGCCTGTAATCCCAGCACTTTGGGAGGCCTAGGCGGGAGGATCACGAGGTCAGGAGATCGAGACCATCCTGGCTAACATGGTGAAACCGCGTCTCTACTAAAAATACAAAAAAAATTAGCCAGGCATGGTTGCAGGCACCTGTAGTCCCAGCTATTCGGGAGGCTGAGGCAGGAGAATTGTGTGAACCCGGGAGGCGGAGCTTGCAGTGAGCAGAGATTGCGCCACTGCCCTCCAGCCTGGGCGACAGAGCGAGACTCCGTCTCAAAAAAAAAAAAAAATTCGTCTAATGACCCTGCTGTCAGAAATCCTATCTACAGCAATGATGAGGAGGCAAAAGTGCAGTGTCTAGAGCCACGTGATACACAGCAGCCAGGATGTGGGCCAGAGTGCAGCCTGATTCACATTTTTTCATTTTTATTTTTTTTACTAAAAGTGGGTTTTCATTTTTTGTTTTGTTTTTGTTTTTGTTTTTTGTTTTTTGAGATGGAGTCTCACTCTGTTGCACCCAGGCTGGAGTGCAGTCGTGCGACCTCGGCTCACTGCAACCTCTGCCTCTGCCTCCCGGGTTCAAACAATTCTGCCTCAGCCTCTCGAGTAGCTGGGATTACAGGCGTTGAACTACCATGCCCCGCTAATTTTTGTATTTTTGTAGAGACGCAGTTTCACCATGCTGGCTGGGCTGGTCTCAAACTCCTGACCTTAAGTGATCCATCTGCCTCAGCCTCCCAAAGTGCTGGGATTACAGGCCTGAGCCACTGTGCCTGGTCTACAAAGGATATTTTTGTGGGGAAAAGAAAGAGAGATCAGATTGTAACTGTGTCTGTGTAGAAAGAAGTAGACACAGGAGACTTCATTTTGTTCTGTACTAAGACAAATTCTTCTGCCTTGAGATGCTGTTAATCTATGACCTTACCCCCAACCCTGTGCTCTCTGAAACATGTGCTGTGTCCACTCAGGGTTAAATGGATTAAGGGCTGTGCAAGATGTGCTTTGTTAAACAAATGCTTGAAGGCAGCATGCTCCTTAAGAGTCATCACCACTCCCTAATCTCAAGTACCCAGGGACACAAACACTGCGGAAGGCCGCAGGGACCTCTGCCTAGGAAAGCCAGGTATTGTCCAGGGTTTCTCCCCATGTGATAGCCTGAAATATGGTCTCATGGGAAGGGAAAGACCTGACCGTCCCTCAGCCCGACACCAGTAAAGGGTCTGTGCTGAGGCGGATTAGTAAAAGAGGAAGGAACACCTCTTTGCAGTTGAGACAAGAGGAAGGCATCTGTCTCCTGCTCGTCCCTGGGCAATGGAATGTATGGGTGTAAACCCCGATTGTATATTCCATATACTGAGATAGGGGAAAACCGCCTTAGGGCTGGAGGTGGGACATGCGGGCAGCAATACTGCTCCGTAAGGCATTGAGATGTTTATGTGTATGCATATCTAAAGCACAGCACTTAGTTCTTTACCTTGTCTATGATGCAGAGACCTTTGTTAACGTGTTTATCTGCTGACCTTCCCTCCACTATTATCCTATGACCCTGCCACATCCCCCTCTCTGAGAAACACCCCAAAATGATCAATAAATACTAAGGGAACTCAGAAGCTGGCGGGATCCTCCATATGCTGAATGCTGGTCCCCTGGGTCCCCTTATTTCTTTCTCTATACTTTGTCTGTGTCTCTTTCTTTTCCAAGTCTCTCCTTCCACCTAACGAGAAATGCCCACAGGTGTGGAGGGGCAACCCGCCCTTTCATATTTTAAAGGATACAAATGAACAGCCAAGGAAGAGATGCGTAGGGGGAGGTTTAGAGGAGTCCGAAGTGCAGGAGCTTCTGTCCCTGTGGACCTGGGGTGCACCACAGTCCTGGCACACGAATGCACCCGGGTTCACCAACCAGGAAGCTCTTCTGAACTCTTTCCTGGTTTTTTTTTTTTTTGAGACAGTCTAACTCCGTCACCCAGGCTGGAGTGCAGTGGCGCTATCTCAGCTCACTGCAGCCTCTGTCTCCTGCGTTCAAGTGATTCTCATGCCTCAGCCTCCTGAGTAGCTGGGTCTACAGGTGCACTCCACCACGCCTGGCTAATTTTTTATTTTTTGTAGAGCCAGGGTCTTGCTATTTTGTCCAGACTGGCCTAGAATTCTTGGGCTCAAGCAATCCTCCCATCTAGGCCTCCCAAAGCGTTGGGATTACGGGCATGAGCCACAGGACACCCGGCCCAAACCCTTTTCTTTTGGGGTTTATGGAGGATTCCTTAGGTGGGCAATGCTGATCACATAGCTGGCAGTTCATAATCAATTCAACCTTCAGCCCCTCTCCCCTCCCTGGAGGCCACTTGGAGCCTGGGGCTGAAAGTTCCCAATGTCTAATCACTGACGGTTTCTTTGGCAGCCAGTCCCTCGCACTTGTGGGGTTATCTAGGGGCTTTCCAAAAGTCACCTCATTTACATAAACTCAGGTGTGGTTGCAGGGCCTGGGTATGTATAACAAGAGATACCTCTTTCATGTTTATCTCTCCATAGCTGCTCTAGGACTAAAGGCCAAATGTTTTAACAAAATATACTCTCTCTCTCTTTTTGTCAGCTAGAATATAATTTATTTTTATTGTTTTTATTTTCTTTTTCTTCAGAGAGGGAGTCTCGCCATATTGCCCAGGCTGGTCTTGAACTCCTGGACTCAGGCAGTCCTCCCGCCTCAGCCTCCCAAAGTGCTGGGATTACATTCATGAACCACTGCGCCTGGCCATCTTTTTTTTTTTTTTTTAAAGATGGAGTCTCTGTCGCCCAGGCTGGAGCGCAGTGGTGCAATCTCGGCTCACGGCAACCTCCAACTCCCAGGTTCAATCAATTCTTACGCCTCAGCCTCCTGAGTAGCTGGGATTACAGGTGCACACCACCATGCCTGGCTAATTCTTTATTTTTAGTAGCCAGGGGTTTTTTGCCATGTTGCCCAGGTTGGTCTCGAACTGCTGACCTCAGATGATCCACCTGCCTCAGCCTTCCAAAGTGCAGGGATTACAGGTGTGAGCCACCATGCCAGGCCTCCATAGTGCCTATTTCTATAGATGGCATGCTGCAACTGATATATACATCTTCATTTGTGGGACCATTTGCTTCCATTAAATTAACAGTTTAAACTACCAAAATTCTGTGCTGAATGCTTTCCACAACATACACTGTTTTATTTAAAAACAATTTTAGGCCAGGTGCGGTGGCTCATGCCTGTAATCACCTGACATCAGGAGTTTGAGACCAGCCTGACCAATATGGTGAAACCCTGTCTCTACTAAAAATACAAAAAATTAGTTGGGCATGGTGGCATGTGCCTGCAGTCCCAGCTACTTGGGAAGCTGAGGCATCAGAATTGCTTGAACCTGGAAGGCAGAGGTTGCAAGAATGGAGATTGCACCACTGCACTCCAGCCTGGGCCACAGAGCAAGACTCCATCCAAAAAAAAAAATTAAATATCAGTTATCTATTTATTTTTTTGAGACTGGGTCTCACTCTGTGGCCTAGGCTGGAGTGAGATGGCCAGTCACAGCTCACTGCAGCCTCAAACTCCTGAGCTCAGGTGATCCTCCCACCTCAGCCTCCTGAATAGCTGGGATTACAGGTGCAGCCCATCATGTATGGCTAATTTTTTTGTTTTTGTTTTTGAGACAGTCTTGCTCTTGTCACCCAGGCTGGAGTGCAATGGCGTGATCGTGCCTCACTCACCCTCCACCTCCCTAGTTCAAGTGATTGTCCTGTCTCAGCCTCCCGAGTAGCTGGGATTACAGGCACCTGCCACCACACCTGGCTAATTTTTTGTATGTTTAGTAGAGACAGAGTTTCACCACGTTGGCCAGTCTGGTCTCCAACTCCTGACCTCAGGTGATCCACCCGCCTCGGCTTCCCAAATTGCTGGGACTACAGGCATGAGCTACCACGCCCAGCCTATGCATGGCTAATTATTAAATATTTTTGAAGAGATGGCATCTTGCTATGTTGCCTAGGCTGGTATCAAACTCCTGGCCCCTAGGGATCCACTGGCCTAGGCCTCTCAGCCTGCTGGGATTTATAGGCAGGAGGCACCACAGTTGGCCACAAAGTAGACTTATTGTATTTGTAACTTAGGAAGTCACGGGAGTTTTTGTCCTCTTTTTTTTTAATTTTTATTTATTTTTGTTTAATTTTTTTTCTCTACAAGAGTTTTTAAAGCTGGGAGCCAGGTACCCTGCAAAACCCAAAATGTGTATTTCCTGTTCTGTCGCCTATCACACCTGGCCCGGGTGGTCTAGGAAGGGAATTGCACATTAATCTCACCTGGGGAGATTCAGCAAGCCGTAATTCTCCAAAGCCCACTGAAGCCCAATTACAGCCAAATCCCTGAGGATGGGGCCCAGGTGATGTCAAGGTGAGCCTGAGGTCAGTGGTTGGGAGCCACCCAATGTTAATCTCAGTGGGGCGGTTCCACCCTGGGCGGGAAAGCTGTCTCTCCACCTAGCGTACCAAGGGCCAGAGACCTCCCCTTTTTATCCGTTTCCTTTGCAGGAAACACAGGCTGGAAGCAAGACCTGACCTGAGGGAGGTGAGTGCTGGTTCTTGCATCGATTTCTTTGTCTTCTCGTTTAAGGGAGAAGAAGCTATTGGTTGAGTTTCCACCATAGCCCTTCCCAAGCCTTAATGGTTGGTGCGAGGATGCTGGAAGGATCTTTGATTTTTTTTTTTTTGAGACGGAGTCTCCCTCTGTCGCCCAGGCTGGAGTGCAGTGGCGTGATCTTGGTTCGCTGCAAACTCCGCCTCCTGGGTTCACCCGCCATTCTCCTGCCTCAGCCTCCTGAGTAGCTGGGACTACAGGCACGTGCCACCATGCCCAGCTAATTTTTGTATTTTTAGTAGAGACGGGGTCTCACCATGTTGGCCAGGCTGGTCTTGAACTCCTGACTTTAGGTAATCTGTCTGCCTCGGCCTCCCAAAGTGCTGGGATTCCAGGTGTGAGCCACCACGCCTGGCCTAATGTCTTAAGGACTTCTATTCAAATATAGTTTAGAGGAGTTCAGGAGATTGAGACTAGCCTGGGCAACATGGTAAAACTCTGTCATTACAAAAAAATATAAGGCCAGGCACAGTGGTTCATGCCTGTTATCCCAACACTTTGGGAGGCCGAGGCGGGTGGATCACTTGAGGCCAGAAGTTTGAGACCAGCCTGCCCAAAATGGTGAAACCCTGTCTCTACTAAAAACACAAAAATTAGCCAGGTGTGGTGGTGCATGCCTGTAATCCCAGTTACTTGGAAGGTTGAGGCAGGAGAATAGCTTAAACCTAGGAGGGGGAGGTTGCAATGAGCTGAGATCGCGCCACTGCACTCCAGCCTGGGAGACAGAGTGCGACTCCGTCTCAAAAAACAAAGAAGGCCAGACCTTGTGCTGTGTCCAAGCTACTTGTGGGGTGAGGTGGGAGGATCACCTGAGCCAGGAGGTGGGGGCTGCAATGAGGTGTGATTGAGCCACTGCACTCCAGCCTGGATGAGATGAAGACCCTGTTTAAAAAAAAAAAAAAGTAGGCTGGGCGCGGTGGCTCACGCCTGTAATCCCAGCACTTTCAGATCACCTGAGGCCGGGAGTTTGAGACCAGCCTGACCAACATGGAGAAACCCCATCTCTACTAAAAATACAAAATTAGCTGGGCGTGGTGGCACATGCCTGTAATCCCAGCTACTCGGGAGGCTGAGGCAGGAGAATCACTTGAACCCGGGAGGCGGAGGTTGCGGTGAGCTGAGATTGCGCCACTGCACTCCAGCCTGGGCAACCAGAGTGAAATGCTGCATCAAAAAAAAAAAAAAATGTAAATGGCCAGATGCGGTGGCTCACGCCTGTGATCCCAGCACTTTGGGAGGCCGAGGCGGGTGGATCAGCTGAGGTCAGGAGTTCGAGGCCAGCCTGGCCAACATAGAGAAACCCTGTCTCGGCCGGGCGCGGTGGCTCACGCCTGTAATCCCAGCACTATGGGAGGCCGAGGCGGGCGGATCACGAGGTCAGAAGATCGAGACCATCCTGGCTAACACGGTGAAACCCCATCTCTACTAAAAATACAAAAAAAATTAGCTGGGCATAGTGGCGGGCGCCTGTAGTCCCAGCTACTTGGGAGGCTGAGGCAGGAGAATGGCGTGAACCTGGGAGGCGGAGCTTGCAGTGAGCCCAGATCGCGCCACTGCACTCCAGCCTGGGTGACAGAGCAAGACTCCATCTCAGAAAAAAACAAGAAACCCTGTCTCTACTAAAAATACAAAAACTAGCCCGGCGTGATGCGGTGCGCCTGTAATCCCAGCTTCTTGAGAGGCTGAGGCACTAGAATCACTTGAACCTGGGAGGTGGAGGTTGCAGTGAGTCGAGATTGTGCCACTGCACTCCAGCCTGGGCAACAGAGGGAGACTCCATCTCAAAAAAAAGAAAAAAAGAAAAAAATGTACTTGGGAAAAAAAATACTTGGCCAGGCCTGGTGGCTCATACCTGTAATCCCAGCACTTTGGGAGGCTGAGGTGGGCAGATCACCTGAGGTCAGGAGTTCAAGACCAGCCTGGCCAACATGGTGAAACCCCGTTTGTACTAAAAATACAAAAAAAATTAGGTGTGGTGGGGCATACCTGTAATCCCAGCTACTTGGGAGGCCGAGGCAGGAGAATCGCTTGAACCCGGGAAGAGGAGGTTGTGGTAAGCCTCGCACCATTGCACTCCAGCCTGGGCGACAGAGCAAGACTTTCTGAAAAAGAAAAAAAAAACCCTGAATTTTTCTTTTCTTTTCTTTTTTTTTTTTTTTTTGAGAGGGAGTCTCACTCGCCCAGGCTGGAGTGCAGTGGCGCGATCTTGGCTCACTGCAAGCTCCGCCTCCCAGGTTCAAGCCATTCTCCTGCCTCAGCCTCCCAAGTAGCTGGGACTACAGGCGCCCGCCACCATGCCCGGCTAATTTTTTTTTTGTATTTTTAGTAGAGACGGGGTTTCACCGTGTTAGCCAGGATGGTCTTGAGCTCCTCACCTTGTGATCTGCCCGCCTCGGCCTCCCATAGTGCTGGGATTACAGGCGTGAGCCACCGTGCCTGGCCAAAAAACCCTGAATTTTTCTAAGTACATCAAGCGTTGTCACTGCAAAAACGAAAGGCAACTATATGAAGCAGTGGATATGTTAATTAGCTGGATTGTGGTAATCATTTCACTGTATATATAACATCGCTCCATGCTGTACACTTTGACAAGTAAACGTTGTATATATTACTTTAAAAATACTTAAAAAATAGAGACAAGGTCTCCTTGTGTCGCCCAGGCTGGTCTGGAACTCCTGGGCTCTCATGCTCTTCCTGCTCCATCCTAAAATAGGATATATGTAATTATACCTCACTGAAGGGGTGGCCTGCCCCTCCACACCTGTGGGTGTTTCTTGTCAGGTGGGACGAGAGACTGAGAAAAGAAAGAGACACAGAGACAAAGTACACAGAAAGAAAAGTGGGCTCAGGAGACCCGCGCCGGCCGGGTCTCTGAGTTCCTTCAGTATTTATTGGTCATTATCTCTACCATCTCGGAGACGGGGATGTGGCAGGACAATAGGGTAACAGTGGGGAGAGGGTCAGCAGGAAAACATGTGAGCAAATGTCTGTGTCATAAACAAGGTTAGGAAATGTGCTGTGCCTTGATGTGCTCATACATAAACATATCTGGTGCATTAAAGAGCAGTATTGCTGCCAGCATGTGTCACCTCCAGCCCTAAGGCGGTTTTCCCCTATCTCGGTGGATGGAACATACCATCGGGTTTTACACCGAGACATTCCATTGCCCAGGGACGAGCAGGAGACAGATACCTTCCTCTTAACTGCAAAAAGGCCTTCCTCTTATACTAATCCTCTTCAGCACAGACCCTTTACGGGTGTCGGGCTGGGGTACGGTCTGGTCTTTCCCTTCCCACGAGGCCTTATCTCAGGCTATCACATGGGGAGAAACTTTGGACAATACCTGGCTTTTCTAGGCAGAGGTCCCTGCAGCCTTCCGCAGTGTATTGTGTCCCTGGGTGCTTGAGATTAGAGAGTGGTGATGACTTTTAACAAGCATGCTGCCTTCAAGCATCTGTTTAACAAAGCACATCCTGCATAGCCCTAAACCCACGTGTGACACAGCACATGTTTCTGGGAGCACAGGGTTGGGGCTAGGGTTACAGGTTAACAGCATCTCAAGGCAGAAGAATTTTTCTTAGTACAGAACAAAATGGAGTCTCTTATGTCTATTTCTTTCTACATAGACACAGTAACAGTCTGATCTGTCCTCCTTTTCCCCACACGTCACAGCTGGGGAAAAAGATTTGCTGTTCCCTCCAAGGGTAAAGCTGTCCACCTCTATCAGCACCCGGGCTTGGCAAGTCACTTTTTCTGTTATTTATTTTCCAGGCTGCCTCTTCCCCCCGCCCCCCCAACCCAGACGGAGTCTCGCTCTGTCGCCCAGGCTGGAGTGCGGTGGCGCGATCTCCGCTCACTGCAAGCTCCGCCTCCCGGGTTCCCGCCATTCTCCTGCCTCAGCCTCCCGAGTAGCTGGGACTACAGGCGCCCGCCACCACGCCCGGCTAATTGTTTGTATTTTTAGTAGAGACGGGGTTTCACCGTGTTAGCCAGGATGGTCTCGATCTCCTGACCTCGTGATCCGCCTGCCTCGGCCTCCCAAAGTGCTGGGATTACAGGCGTGAGCCACCGCACCCGGCCATTAGTTACTTACTTTTGAGACAGGGCCTCACTCTGTCACCCAGGCTGGCGTGCAGTGGCTGGCTCACTGCAACCTCCAAATCGTAGGCTCAAACAATCCTCCTGTGTCAGCCTCCCAAGTATCTGGGACTACGGGTATGTTCCACCAGGCCTGGCTAAGTTTTTTTTTTTTGAGATAGAGTTTCGCTCTTGTTGCCCAGGCTGGAGTACAATGGCGCTATCTCAGCTCACTGCAACCTCCGCCTCCTGGGTTCAAGCGATTCTCCTGCCTCAGCCTCCCACGTACCTGGGATTACAGGTTCCTACCACTACACTTGGCTAGCTTTTGTATTTTTAGTAGAGATGGGGTTTCACCATGTGGGCCAGGCGGGTCTCAAACTCCTGACATCAGGCGATCCACCTGCCTCAGCCTCCCAAAGTGCTGGGATTCCAGGCCTGAGCCACCATACCCGGCCAGTACAGTTATATTTATATCTGTCCTCTTGCTATTTGTTTTCAATGTGTCATTCAGTGGTGGGCTGAAATGTTAAACAAGTGGCTCTGAGGGTTGGTGGCGAGGAAGTCTTGGTTTGTAGTGTTTGCTGATTTGTTTTTTTGTTTGTTTGAGACAGAGTCTTGTTCTTGTTGCCGAGGCTCGAGTGCAATGGCGTGATCTCAGATCATGCAACCTCCACCTCCCAGGTTCAAGTGTGATTCTCCTGTCTCGGCCTCCTGAGTAGCTGGGATTACAGGCACCCGCCTGTAATTTCTGTATTTTTAGTAGAGATGGGGTTTCGCCGTGTTGGTCAGGCTGGTCTTGAGCTCCCGACCTCAGGTTATCCACCCGCCTTGGCCTCCCAAAGTGCTGGGATTACAGGCGTGAGCCACCGCGCCCTGCCGTGTTTGCTGATTTCTGTGGCATAAACACTCCCCTTGTGATTTTGTACTATCAGTGTGAAATCACAGCCCATGGACGTTGGTATAGGTACATATAGGAAGCCCCCATTAGGCAGCACGGGCTGGCCCTAGCATACCACTGACCCTTCATTCTTTGTATTCTTTTTTTTTTTTTTTTTTTTTTTTTTGAGACGGAGTCTCGCTCTGTCGCCCAGGCTGGAGTGCAATGGTGAGATCTCTGCTCACTGCAAGCTCCACTTCCCGGGTTCACACCATTCTCCTGCCTCAGCCTCCCGAGTAGCTGGGACTACAGGTGCCCGCCACCACGCCCTGCTAATTTTTTGTATTTTTTTAGTAGAGGCAGGGGTTTCACTGTGTTAGCCAGGATGGTCTCGATCTCCTGATATCGTGATCCATCCGCCTCGGCCTCCCAAAGTGCTGGGATTACAGGCGTGAGCCACCGTGCCCAGCCTTTTGTTCGTTCTTTTTACCAAGTTAGCCAGGCTGGTCTCGAACTCCTGGCCGCAGGCGTGAGCCACCGTGCTGGGCCAGATTTTCAGTCTCTTAATTCAGTCTTTGGAATATTTTACCACTCACTGTACAGCAGGAACAGTCTTGTTCTTGGCACACAGGAAACTGTGGTTTCATTTAATGATGGTAACTCGTGAACTGTTTTTCCTTTTTTCCCCCCAGTTCTTCAGCCTTAACCTAAGGTCTCATACTCGGAGCACTATGACATCGCCCCAGCTAGAGTGGACTCTGCAGACCCTTCTGGAGCAGCTGAACGAGGATGAATTAAAGAGTTTCAAATCCCTTTTATGGGCTTTTCCCCTCGAAGACGTGCTACAGAAGACCCCATGGTCTGAGGTGGAAGAGGCTGATGGCAAGAAACTGGCAGAAATTCTGGTCAACACCTCCTCAGAAAATTGGATAAGGAATGCGACTGTGAACATCTTGGAAGAGATGAATCTCACGGAATTGTGTAAGATGGCAAAGGCTGAGATGATGGGTAAGTAGAACCTGGGGTGTCCTGGTCATTTTTTTTTTTTTTTTTTTTTTTTTGAGATGGAGTCTCGTTCTGTCGCCCAGGCTGGAGTGTAAGGCTGGAGTGCAGTGGCGAGATCTGGGCTCACTGCAACCTCCGCCTCTGGGTTCAAGTGATTCTCCTATCTCAGCCTCCGGAGTAGCTGGGATTACAGGCGTGTTTCACCACACCTGGCTAATTTTTTTTTTTTTGTATTTTTAGTAGAGATGGGGTTTTGCCATGTTGGCCAGGCTGGTCTTGATCTCCTGACCTTGTGATCCGCCCACCTCAGCCTTCCAAAGTGCTGTGATTACAGGCATGAGCCACCATGCCTGGCTGACACTTTATGTACAATAATGTCTGATTTACGAAGTGTAAATTACTGTGTCAGGCTTACATCTAAGTATTTTACAGAGGACGGACAGGTGCAAGAAATAGATAATCCTGAGCTGGGAGATGCAGAAGAAGACTCGGAGTTAGCAAAGCCAGGTGGGTAAATACGGTCCTATGGTCATGAGTTTGGTGTTTGAGAGCATGCAAGGTGCATCACTTCTTCCTGGTTTTATTCATTTCTGGTAGTTTTTTTTTTTTTTGAGACGGAATCTTGCTCTGTAGCCCAGGCTGGAGTGTAGTGGCTCCGTCTCTGCTCATTGCAACCTCTGCCTCCCGGGTTCAAGCAATTCTCTGCCTCAGCCTCCTGAGTAGCCGGGATTACAGGCGGCCGCCACTACCCCCAGCTAATGTTTTGTATTTTTAGTAGAGATGGGGTTTCACTATCTTGGCCAGGCTGGTCTTGAACTCCTGACCTCAAGTGATCCACCCACCTTGGCCTCCCAAAGTGCCGGGATTACAAGCATGAGACACCGTGCCTGGCCCTCATTTCTGGTACTTGACAAAATAATTCAGAAAATCATCATCATCAACCTCAACTGTCCTATGGGCTGTCACTGCAGGTGAAAAGGAAGGATGGAGAAATTCAATGGAGAAACAGTCTTTGGTCTGGAAGAACACCTTTTGGCAAGGAGACATTGACAATTTCCATGACGACGTCACTCTGAGAAACCAACGGTTCATTCCATTCTTGAATCCCAGAACACCCAGGAAGCTAACACCTTACACGGTGGTGCTGCACGGCCCCGCAGGCGTGGGGAAAACCACGCTGGCCAAAAAGTGTATGCTGGACTGGACAGACTGCAACCTCAGCCCGACGCTCAGATACGCGTTCTACCTCAGCTGCAAGGAGCTCAGCCGCATGGGCCCCTGCAGTTTTGCAGAGCTGATCTCCAAAGACTGGCCTGAATTGCAGGATGACATTCCAAGCATCCTAGCCCAAGCACAGAGAATCCTGTTCGTGGTCGATGGCCTTGATGAGCTGAAAGTCCCACCTGGGGCGCTGATCCAGGACATCTGCGGGGACTGGGAGAAGAAGAAGCCGGTGCCCGTCCTCCTGGGGAGTTTGCTGAAGAGGAAGATGTTACCCAGGGCAGCCTTGCTGGTCACCACGCGGCCCAGGGCACTGAGGGACCTCCAGCTCCTGGCGCAGCAGCCGATCTACGTAAGGGTGGAGGGCTTCCTGGAGGAGGACAGGAGGGCCTATTTCCTGAGACACTTTGGAGACGAGGACCAAGCCATGCGTGCCTTTGAGCTAATGAGGAGCAACGCGGCCCTGTTCCAGCTGGGCTCGGCCCCCGCGGTGTGCTGGATTGTGTGCACGACTCTGAAGCTGCAGATGGAGAAGGGGGAGGACCCGGTCCCCACCTGCCTCACCCGCACGGGGCTGTTCCTGCGTTTCCTCTGCAGCCGGTTCCCGCAGGGCGCACAGCTGCGGGGCGCGCTGCGGACGCTGAGCCTCCTGGCCGCGCAGGGCCTGTGGGCGCAGATGTCCGTGTTCCACCGAGAGGACCTGGAAAGGCTCGGGGTGCAGGAGTCCGACCTCCGTCTGTTCCTGGACGGAGACATCCTCCGCCAGGACAGAGTCTCCAAAGGCTGCTACTCCTTCATCCACCTCAGCTTCCAGCAGTTTCTCACTGCCCTGTTCTACGCCCTGGAGAAGGAGGAGGGGGAGGACAGGGACGGCCACGCCTGGGACATCGGGGACGTACAGAAGCTGCTTTCCGGAGAAGAAAGACTCAAGAACCCCGACCTGATTCAAGTAGGACACTTCTTATTCGGCCTCGCTAACGAGAAGAGAGCCAAGGAGTTGGAGGCCACTTTTGGCTGCCGGATGTCACCGGACATCAAACAGGAATTGCTGCAATGCAAAGCACATCTTCATGCAAATAAGCCCTTATCCGTGACCGACCTGAAGGAGGTCTTGGGCTGCCTGTATGAGTCTCAGGAGGAGGAGCTGGCGAAGGTGGTGGTGGCCCCGTTCAAGGAAATTTCTATTCACCTGACAAATACTTCTGAAGTGATGCATTGTTCCTTCAGCCTGAAGCATTGTCAAGACTTGCAGAAACTCTCACTGCAGGTAGCAAAGGGGGTGTTCCTGGAGAATTACATGGATTTTGAACTGGACATTGAATTTGAAAGGTAAGAACTGTTTTCCCATCCCACGCTCCACTAGGAAGAGGCCAGCGTCTCCTTTGCCCTGTCGCTTACTGTCAGAATTTCCCTCTGGCTGGACTTCTTTCCAGCTTCATGTTCAACGTGGAGACACGACTTGGCAATTAGGAATTGGGGCTTTTTATTTTTGAGACGGAGTCTCGCTCTGTCCCCCAGGCTGGAGTGCAGTGGCGCGATCTTGGCTCACTGCAACCTCCGCCTCCCGGGTTCAAGTGATTCTCCTGCCTCAGCCTCCCGAGTAGCTGGGACTATGGGCGTGCACCACCTTGCCCGGTTAATTATTTTATTTTTTTGTAGAGATGGGGGTCTCAGTTTCTAGCCCAAGTTGGTCTTAAACTCCTGGGCTCAAGTGATCTTCCCACTTTGGCCTAGCAAAGTGTTGGGATTACAGGCATGAGCCACCTCACTCAGCCTTATCTATTATTTTATTTTTTTTGTAAAACTTAAGATCTATACTGGTAGCAAAGCATGTGATGCAATATTGTTTACTATAGACACTGTTTTAGGTTGGTGCAAAAGTAATTGTGGTTTTTGCCATTGAAATGTGGTTTGCAGATGCCCATCTCACCATGCAGGTACTAGTCCTAAGAGATGAACGTGTGTTCTCCTGCAGGTGCACTTACCTAACCATTCCGAACTGGGCTCGGCAGGATCTTCGCTCTCTTCGCCTCTGGACAGATTTCTGCTCTCTCTTCAGCTCAAACAGCAACCTCAAGTTTCTGGAAGTGAAACAAAGCTTCCTGAGTGACTCTTCTGTGCGGATTCTTTGTGACCACGTAACCCGTAGCACCTGTCATCTGCAGAAAGTGGAGTAAGTAGAAGCTCATCTTGCAAGGAAGACCCTGAACGATGACTAAGCTTCTTGTACTTTTGTTTTTTAAATTTGGAAATGTGCTGTTTCATCTCCATGTATTTGGGGATTTTCCAGCTGTCTTTTTTTTTTTTTTTTTTTTTGGTGAGACGGAGATTTACTCTTGTTGCCCAGGCTGGAGTGCAATGGCGCGATCTCAGCTCACTGCATCCTCCACCTCCCAGGTTCAAGCAATTCTCCTGCCTCAGCCTCCCGAGTAGCTGGGATTACAGGCATGTGCCACCTTGCCCGGCTAATTTTGTACTTTTAGCACAGACAGGTTTTCACCGTGTTGCCCAGGCTGATCTCGAGCTCCTGACCTCAGGTGATTTGCCTGCCTCGGCCTTCCAAAGTGCTGGGATTATAGGCATGAGCCGCTGCACCTGGCCCCTTTTTTATTTTTTATTTTTTCTGAGACAGAGTTTCACTCTGTCACCTAGGCGCTGGAGTGCAATGACTTAATCTTGTGTTTTTAGTAGAGGTGGAATTTTCTCCATCTTGGCCAGGCTTGTCTCGAACTCCTGACCTAAGGTGATGCGCCTGCCTCGGTCTTCGAAAGTGCTGGGATTACAGGCATGAGCCACCATGCCTGGCCCCAGCTATCTTTTTTTTGGTTTGTTTTGTTACCAAAACAAACCAAAAAGTAGGTACAAGTACAGGTTAGTTACACAGGTAACCGTGTGTCATAGGAGTTTGTTGTACAGATTATTTTGTCACCCAAGTATTAAGCCTAGTACCCCTTAGTTGTTTTTCCTGATCCTCTGCTTCTTGACTTTTTTTTTTTTTTTTGAGACAGTCTCGCTATGTTCCCCAGGCTGGAGTGCAGTGCAGCAATCTCGGCTCACTGCAAGCCCTGCCTCCCGGGTTCATGCCATTCTCCTGCCTCAGCCTCCCGAGTAGCTGGGACTACAGGCGCCCGCCACCACGCCCGGCTAGTTTTTTGTAATTTTAGTAAAGACGGGGTTTCACCGTGTTAGCCAGGATGGTCTTGATCTCCTGACCTCGTGATCCACCCGCCTCGGCCTCGGCCTCCCAAAGTGCTGGGATTACAGGCGTGAGCCACCACACCCGGCGAATTTTTTTTTCTTTTGAGATGGAGTCTTGCTCTGTTGCCCAGGCTGGAGTGCAGTGGTGCGGTCTCGGCTCACTGCAACCTCTGCCTCCTGGATTCAAGTGATTCTCCTACCTCAGCCTCCCGAATACCTGGGACTACAAGCATGCCCCTCCATGTGCAGCTAATTTTTGTATTTTTAGTAGAGACGGGGCTTCCCCATGTTGGCCAGGCTGGTCTCGAACTCCTGACCTCAGGCGATCTGCCTGCCTCGGCCCCAGCTAATTTATTTTTTGTAGAGATGGAGTTTCACCATGTTGCCCAGGTTGGTCTCAGACTCCTGACCTCAGGTTATCCTCCTGCCTCAGCCTCCCAAAGTGCTGGGGTTACAGACACGAGCCACTGCACCCGGCCAAGAACTTCTAATAATTTCTAAATGTGAAACAGCTTTTTGTTTATACATGCCTCCACACAATGTGAGTATTAATCACTCCAAGTGGAATCTCTTCTGCTTTTCCCTAGGATTAAAAACGTCACCCCTGACACCGCGTACCGGGACTTCTGTCTTGCTTTCATTGGGAAGAAGACCCTCACGCACCTGACCCTGGCAGGGCACATCGAGTGGGAACGCACGATGATGCTGATGCTGTGTGACCTGCTCAGAAATCATAAATGCAACCTGCAGTACCTGAGGTGGGTCTCACGGTCACGGCTCTCCCCAGCACCTGGAGTCCACTGCACCGTGTTGCTGGGGGATCTAGGAAAAAGGGTAACCACTCCAGATGCCGTCCCAGACAGGGAATGTATTCCTCAAACAGGCCTGTGTGGGGGAGTCGGCCTCTCCTCTTTCCCCCACCAGCTTGTCTTCTGTGTTGCATAACCAGCTATCCATGCAAAGAAACACCCCGAATTCTGTGCTGGGTTCCAGCTTTAGGGACATGCTATTCCTGACTGCACCTTGCCTAATTGTTGGGATTGAGAGCAGTGGCCCCCAGCCTTTTCTGCACCGCGGGCCGGTTTTGCACAAGACAGTTTTTTCCACAGACGGGTTTGGGGGTAGTTTTGGGATGAAACTGTTCGATCTCAGATCAGGCACAGGAGCTAATCGTTGGTGCCTGATCCTATGGAGTGCATGATCCTCGCACTTTGGGAGCCTGAGGAGAATGGATCATCAATCTCAGATCATCAGGAGTTAGGTATTCATAAGGAGCATGCAACCTTCTCTGCACTCAATGAGAATCTTTTTTTTTTTTTTTTTTCTTTGAGACAGTTTTATTCTTGTCACCCAGGCTGGAGCGCAGTGGCGCGATCTCGTTCACTGCAACCTCCGCCTCCTGGGTTCAAGCAGTTCTGCCTCAGCTTCCCGAGTAGCTGGGGTTACAGGCGTGCACCACCACGCCTGGCAAATGTTTGTATTTTTAATAGAGACAGGGTTTCACCATGTTGGCCAGGCTGGTCTCGAACTCCTGACCTCAAGTGATCCGCCTGTCTCGGCCTCCCAAAGTGCTAGGATTACAGGCATGAACCACTGCGCCTGGCCAGGATAAAATTTTTATTTTGAGTATTAAGCATCAATTTGCCCCTTCTAGTCCCAGCTACAGTGGATGCTGAGGTGGGAGGATCATTTGAGCCCAGGAGACAGGTTGTGGTGACCTGTGATCATGCCACTGCACTCCAGCCTGGGCAACAGAGCGAGATCCTGTCTCAAAAAAAAAATTTTTTTTTCCCCCCTGCAAAATCATCCACACAGGCCGTTTTGGTGAAACATTGCACAGAATTGTATTACAATCTCTTGGAGAAGTGGCTGGATGTTACCCTAATGGCCATGGGGATACTTGAAGAAGCAGAGGCAACATTAGATCTCTCCAGTAATTCAGGCCAGGGTTGGAGGCATGAGTAGAATGAGATAAACCAAAGACATAATGTCTTGGGAAGTGAAGCAGAAGAAGCTGATCTGGGCCAGGCGCGGTGGCTCACACCTGTAATCCCAGTACTTCGGTAGGCCAAGGTGGGTGGATCACCTGAGGTCAGGAGTTCAAGACCAGTGTGGCCAACATGGTGAAATCCCGTCTCTACTAAAAATACAAAAATTGGCGAATGCCTGTAATCCCAGCTACTTCGGAGGCTGAGGCAGGAGAATAGCTTGAACCCGGGAGGCGGAGGCTGCAGTGAGGTGAGATCACGCCTTTGCATTCCAGACTGGGCAACAGAGTGAAACTCTGTCTCAAAAAAAAAAAGCTGATAGGGTATACTCTGTCCTCCCAGAAGAATGACTTTTCCCACTCTTTTCACAGGTTGGGAGGTCACTGTGCCACCCCGGAGCAGTGGGCTGAATTCTTCTATGTCCTCAAAGCCAACCAGTCCCTGAAGCACCTGCGTCTCTCAGCCAATGTGCTCCTGGATGAGGGTGCCATGTTGCTGTACAAGACCATGACACGCCCAAAACACTTCCTGCAGATGTTGTCGTAAGTCTCCTCTTCCCATGGGCAGCTCTGGTTTAGTTCTGGGGCTATAGAAGAGAAAGGGTAACACCTGACTTACTGCGCCACCCACGTGGCGCCTCTTGCTGAAATAAACACCTGCTTCAGGCCCGGCACGGTGGCTCCTGCCTGTAATCTCAGCAGAGAGGTGGGCGGATCATCTGAGTTCAGGAGTTCGAGACCAACCTGGCCAACATGGTGAAACCCTGTTTCTATTAAAAATACCAAAAACAGGCCGGGTGCGGTGGCTCATGCCTGTAATCCCAGCACGTTGGGAGGCCAAGGCGGGGAGATCACGAGGTCAAGAGATCGAGACCATCCTGGCTAACATGGTGAAACCCCGTCTCTACTAAAAAATACAAAAAATTATCCAGGTGTGGTGGGCGCCTGTAGTCCCAGCTACTCAGGAGGCTGAGTCAGCAGAATGGTGTAAACCTGGGAGGCGGCGATTGGCAGTGAACCGAGATCGCGCCACTGCACTCCAGCCTGGGCGACAGAGCGAGACTCCGTCTCAAAAACAACACCTGTGTCCTGTGATGGCTCCAGGTGGACCGCTGCATCTTGGCCTTCTCGCCTTCCTGCTCTTTTGTGGCCATGATGACTCCCACAGGACAGAGGGCAGGGGATGAACAGGAAGGGCTGAAGCTGAGTACCCTAGCATGTGGACATCACTGAGCAGGTTGGAGTTGTGGAAATGTTCTCATCCTTCTACCATTTGTTTCATATTTTTGCAGGTTGGAAAACTGTCGTCTTACAGAAGCCAGTTGCAAGGACCTTGCTGCTGTCTTGGTTGTCAGCAAGAAGCTGACACACCTGTGCTTGGCCAAGAACCCCATTGGGGATACAGGGGTGAAGTTTCTGTGTGAGGGCTTGAGTTACCCTGATTGTAAACTGCAGACCTTGGTGTAAGTCCCTGCTGGGTGTGTGTGTGTGTGCACATGAATTCAAGCAGGAGAGACATGAAAGTACTTGTTAATTCATTTCAAATGTAACTTTTAAAAACCTGGTAAGAATTAAAGAACAGGCAGAGGCCAGGCGTGGTGGCTCATGCCTGTAATCCCAGCACTTTGGGAGGCCGAGGCGGGTGGATCATGAGGTCAGGAGATGGAGACCATCCTGGTTAACATGGTGAAACCCTGTCTGTACTAAAAATACCAAAAATTAGCCAGGTGTGGTGGCGGATGCCTGTAGTCCCAGCTACTTGGGAGGATGAGACAGGAGAATGGCGTGAACCTGGAAGGCGGAGGTTGCAGTGAGCCGAGATCGCACCACTGCACTCCAGCCTGGGCGACAGAACAAGACTCCTTCTCAAAAAAACAAAGAAACAAAAAAAACCAGGCAGATACAGGTAGAAACATGTTAATATTTGCATGTCAGCAGAGCCTCTTCCTGCTATGAAGGAAGATTTGAGATGAGTAGTTGGTTCTCGGATCTGATGCTTTGTGTGTGTTCTTTCAAATTCCTATGACATAGTACTGCCTGCTATTGGAGGTAGATTGAGTTATGTGGTAGGGCCAGTGGCACCTTTTTTTAAACTTTTATTTCCATAGGTTATTGGGGAACAGGTGGTGAATGGTGGGCAGATCACCTAAGGTTCGAGACCAGCCTGGCCAACATGGTGAAAACCCATCGCTACTAAAAAATACAAAAATTAACCAGGCTTGGTGGTGCGTGCCTATAGTACCAGCTACTCAGAAGGCTGAGGTAGGAGAATCGCTTGAATCTGGGAGGCAGAGGCTGCAGTGAGCTGAGATGGCGCCACTGCACTCCAGCCCGGGCGACAGAGTGAGACTCCGTCTCAAGAAAAAAACAAAAAAAAACTCAACAAAAATCCTTATTTGTAAAAGACATAGGTGGCAGGTTGGAATTGACCCACGAACTATAGTTGGCTGAATCTTGTTATATGGAAAGAAGCCCAGCGTGAGCTACCTGTTCACATTAAAATTATGGTTAGAAAAATATTCAAGAGATTGCATAGGGTTGAAGACCTGTTCCTGTTCAGAAATTCTAGCTAGTGGTCATTTCTGAGATTCATTTTTTTTTTTTTGGATGAAGTCTCACTCTGTCGCCCAGACTGGAATGCAGTGGTGTAATCTTGGCTGACTGCAACTTCTGCCTCCCAGGTTCAAGCGATTCTCCTGCCTCAGCCTCCCAAGTAGCTGGGATTACAGGTGCCCTCCACCATGCCTGGCTAATTTTTGCACTTTTAGTGGAGATGAGGTTTCACCATGTTGGCCAGGCTGGTCTTGAACTCCTGGCCTTAAGTGATCTGCCTGCCTCGGCCTCCCAAAGTGCTGGCGTTCCAGGCATGAGCCACTGTGCCTGGCTTAGAATAACTATTGTTAAACAAACAGTCACCTACCTGATCGTTATACGAAGTGTACCTGCACCAAAACATCACACTATACCCCTATATATGTAGAATGTGTCAGTTAAAGACAAAACTTAAACATGAAATAAAATGACAGGGAAAGTGAAATTTCCATAATCTAACCACGCAGAAAATAAGTGACCCAGGGCTCAGATCCTGTCCTGGGTCGGTCTGAACCCAGAGCCTAAGCTGTTGTCCCAGGCAGAGCTGGAAATGGATGGAATCAGAAGGCCATTTGGATGTTTTTTTTTTTTTTTTAACAGTCTCTCTCTGTCACCAGGCTGGAGTGCAGTGGTGCGATCTTGGCTCACTGCAACCTCCGCTTCCTGGGTTCAAGTAATTCTCCTACCTCAGCCTCCTGAGTAGCTAGGATTACAGGCATGGGCCGCCACACCTGGCTAATTTTTTTTTTTTTTTGAGATGGAGTTTCGCTCTTGCCCAGGCTGGAGTGCAATGGTGCAATCTCTGCTCACCACAACCTCCGTCTCCCCAGTTCAAGAGATTCTCCTGCCTCAGCCTCCTGAGTAGCTGGGATTACAGGCATGTGCCACCACACCTGGCTAATTTTGTATTTTTAGTAGAGACGGGTTTCTCCATATTGCTTAGGCTGGTCTTGAACTCCCGACCTCAGGTGATCTGTCTGCCTCAGCCTCCCAAAGTGCTGAGATTACAGGTGTGAGCCATCGTGCCCAGCTAATTTTTGTATTTAGTAAAGATGGGGTTTCACCACTTTGGCCAGGCTGGTCTTGAACTCCTGATCTTGTGATTCACCCACCTTGGTCTCCCAAAGTGCTGAGATTACAGGTTTGAGCCACCGCGCCCGGCCCGATTTTTGTATTTTTTAGTAGAGATGGGGTTTCACCATGTTGGCCAGGCTGGTCTTGAACTCCTGACCTCAAATGATCTGCCCGTCTTGGCCTCCCACTGCTGTGATTATAGGCGTGAGCCACTGTGCCCGGCCCATTTGCATGCTTTTATGTGCAAGCCCACCTGGAAGTATATAGCTCCAGTTCATGGGTCAATTCCTACCTGCCACCTATGTTTTATATAAATACTTTTTGTTGTTGTTGTTGTTTTCTTGAGACGGAGTCTCGCTCTGTCGCCCGGGCTGGAGTGCAGTGGCGCGATCTCAGCTCACTGCAGCCTCTGCCTCCCGGATTCAAGCGATTCTCCTGCCTCAGTCTTCTGAGTAGCTGGCACTACAGGCGTGCACCACCAAGTCTGGTTATATAGGTGGCGGGCACCTATAATCCCAGCTACTTGGGAGGCTGAGGCAGAAGAATCGCTTGAACCTGGGAGGCAGAGGTTGCAGTGAGCCAAGAGTGCAGCACTGCATTCCAGTATATAAGTGGAAGGTATATAGTGTTGGAAATAACTGCTTCACAGGGCGTTAGCCAGAGGGATAACAGGCTTCTCTTCCTTTGATTATCCTGTAGGTTACAGCAATGCAGCATAACCAAGCTTGGCTGTAGATATCTCTCAGAGGCGCTCCAAGAAGCCTGCAGCCTCACAAACCTGGACTTGAGTATCAACCAGATAGCTCGTGGATTGTGGATTCTCTGTCAGGCATTAGAGAATCCAAACTGTAACCTAAAACACCTACGGTAGGCGATTTTCTTTTTCTTCTTTCTTTCTTTTTTTGAGACAGGGTCTTGCTCTGTCCCCCAGCCTGGAGTGCAGTGGGGTGATTACGGCTCACTGCGGCTTCGGTCTTCCAGGCTTGATCGGTTCTCCCACCTCAGCCTCCTGAGTAGCTGGCTCTACAGGCATGTATTACCATGGCCAGGTAACTGTTTTCTGTAGAGATGAGGTCTTGTCATCTTTCCCGGGCTGGTTTTGAATTCTGGTGCTCAAGGAATCCTCCCACCTCGGCCTCCCAATGTGCTAGGATTACAGGCATGAGCCATCATGCCTGGCCTCATTTTTAAAGTGTTTGGAAATCTGGAAATCCTTAATTTCTATGTTTTCTTTTTTTTTTTTTTTTTTTGAGACGGAGCCTCGTTCTAGTTGCCCAGGCTGGAGTGCAGTGGCGCGATCTCGGCTTACTGCAACCTCTTCCTCCCGGGTTCTCGCTATTCTCCTGCCTCAGCCTCCTGAGTAGCTGGGACTACAGATGCCCGCCACCGTGCCTGGCTAATTTTTTTTGTATTTTTAGTAGAGATGGGTTTCACAGTGTTAGCCAGGATGGTCTCGATCTCCTGACCTCATGATCTGCCCGCCTTGGCCTTCCAAAGTGCTGGGATTACAGGCGTGAGCCACCACGCCCGGCCAATTTCTATGTTTTCAATATCTCAGACTGTATCACTTCGGATCCAGTTTTAAGATCAAACCCCTCCAGAAACTGAATATATGTGGGTGGGCACTTCTAAAGTCAGGTAGAGGGCCTGGAGAAGTGAAATATATATAACAATGGCCCCCAGTGACCTGGACTTCAGCAGCATGCTGCTTCTGCTGGGATCCAGTAATCAGGAAGCAGTGAGCCTGCCCCACCTCATAAACCCAGGGAACCATAGGTGGGATACCACCCCCAGAAAATGCAAAGTCTCCACAAATGGAATGGCGAGCTCTTCATCACTTCTCTCCCCAAAGTTTGTCAGTTGCATCTCTTGGATGCAACCTATTTTCCAACTAGAATCTGCAATCCTAATGCAAAGAGAATCTGCACGTCATTACTACTTAGCTTTGCTGTAGAGTAAAGAAAAAAAACACTAGAACACAGGGTACTTTTTTTCTTTTTTCAGACAGAGTCTCGCTTTGTCACCCAGGCTGGAGTGCAGTGGTGCGATCTTGGCTCACTGCAACCTCAGCCTCCAAGGTTCAAGCGATTCTCCTGATTGAGCTGAGTAGTTGGGATTACAGGCGTGCACCACCATACCCAGCTAATTTTTGTATTTTTAGTAGAGACCAGGTTTCACCATGTTAGCCAGACTGGTCTCAAACTCCTGACCTCAAGTGATCCACCTGCCTCAACCTCCCAAAGTGCTGGGATTACAGGCATGAGCCACCATTCCTGGCCTCCTGAAGTTTCTTAACCCATCCCCCTGAGGAATATTTCAAGCCTCAAGCCAGACCGTGATACCTTTATTTCCAAAGACTCAAAAGCTCAATGCAAACGGGTGGATTACCTGGTGTCTTGTTCCTGTAATCTCAGCTATGACTGTAATCCTAGATTCTCGGGAGGCTGGGGCAGGAGAATCGCTTGAACCCAGGAGGCGGAGGTTGCAGTGAGCCGAGATCACGCCATTGCACTCCAGCCTTGGCAACAAGAGTGAAACTCTGCCTTAAAAAAAACAAAACCAAAGGCTTCTACAGTGGCCTACAGGGCCTTATGGGGGATCCTCGTGTAAGTTATGAGCCATAAATCATTCTACTTTCTCACTAGCTCAGTATTTTATTTACAAGATTCCCTCCCCCAGTTAGCATGCTGGTTCATGATCTACCATCCTTCAGTTTCTTTCCTCATATCACTTTCCAAAAGAGGACTTAAATGACCAGCATAAGTCTAGCCAATCAATGCCTCTCTGTTTGACTTACCTCTACCCTGTTTATTTTAATACCATCATCCATTGTCTTCAATAGAACATATCGAGATGTCTGCTGTCACTAAAAACTCTGAGGACAAGGATTTCTTCTGCTCACTCCCCTCTGCCTTTCCTCACTACTGGAGCCCCAGCAAATATGCTGCTTGTTTTTTTGTTTTGTTTTGTTTGAGACCAAGTCTCACTCTTTCACCCAAGCTGGAATGCAGTGGTGATATGTTGGCTAACTACAACCTCTGCCTCCTGGTTCAGGCGATTCTCCTGCCTCTCGAGTAGCTGGAATTATAGGTGGTTCCACCATACCTGGCTAATTTTTGTATTTTCATTTTATGTTATATATTTGTGAGATGGAGTCTCATTCTATTGCCCAGGCTGGAGTGCAGTGGCGCAATCTGGGCTCACTGTAACCTCCGCCTCCCAGGCTGAAGCGATTCTTGTGCCTCAGCCTCCCAAGTAGCTAGCATTAAAGGCACACACCACCATGCATGGCTAATTTTTTGTAGAGATGGGGTTTTGCCATGTTGGCCTGGCTGGTCTCGAACTCCTGACCTCAGGTGATCTACCCTCCTCGGCCTCCCAAGGTGCTGGGGCTACAGGTGTCTGTCCCCACGCCCTGCCTAATCTTTGTATTTTTAGTAGAGATGGGGTTTGACCGTGTTGGCAAGGCTGGTCTCGAACACCTGGCCTCAAGTGATCCACCCGCCTTGGCCTCCCGAAGTGTTGGGATTACACGCTTGAGCCACTACCTGCTCAGTGAATGCGTGGATTTCCATGTTCTTCCTCAACAGCCTCTGGAGCTGCTCCCTCATGCCTTTCTATTGTCAGCATCTTGGATCTGCTCTCCTCAGCAATCAGAAGCTTGAAACTCTGGACCTGGGCCAGAATCATTTGTGGAAGAGTGGCATAATTAAGCTCTTTGGGGTTCTAAGACAAAGAACTGGATCCTTGAAGATACTCAGGTATGGGTTTTTTGTTTTGTTTTGTTTTGTTTTTTGTTTTTGTTTTTTTGAGATGGAGTCGTGCTCTGTCATTCAGGCTGGAGTGCAGTGGCGCAATCTTGGCTCACCGCAACCTCTGCCTCTCAGGTTCAAGCAATTCTCCTGCCTCAGCCTCATGAGTAGCTGGGCCTAGAGGCATGCCAACATGTCCAGCTAATTTTTTTCTTTTTCTTTTTTTTTTTTTGAGACGGAGTTTTGTTCTTGTAGCCCAGGCTGGAGTGCAGTGGTGCGATCTTGGCTCACTGCAACCCCCACCTCCTGGGTTCAAGCGATTCTCCCACCTTGGCCTCCCAAGTAGCTGGAATTACAGATGCCTGCCACCATGCCTGGCTAATTTTTTAGTAGAGAGGGGTTTCACCATGTTGGCCAGGCTAGTCTTGAACTCCTGACCTCAGGTGAGCCACCTGCCTCGGCCTCCCAAAGTGGTGGGATTACAGAGGTGAGCCATTGCACCCGGCCTTTTTGGTTTTTGCTTTTTGGGATGGAGTCTCACTGTTGCCCAGGCTGGAGTGCAGTGGCGCGATCTTGACTCACTGCAGCCTCCTTCTCACAGGTTGAAGCGATTTTCCTGCCTCAACCTCCTGAGTAGCTGGGATTACAGGTACACACCACCACAGCTGGCTAATTTTTTTTTTTTTTTTTTTTTTTTAAAGACAGAGTCTCTCTCTGTCCCCCAGGCTGGAGTGCAGTGGCGCTATCTCGGCTCAGTGCAACCTCTGCCTCCTGGGTTCAAGTGATTCTCCTGCCTCAGCCTCCTGAGTAGCTAGGATTACAGTCGCTCGCCACCACACCCAGCTAATTTTTGTATTTTTAGTAGAGATGGGGTTTTGCCATGTTGGCCAGGCTGGTCTCGAGCTCCTGACCTCAGGTGATCTTCTCGCCTTGGCCTCCCAAAGTGCTGGGATTACAGGCATGAGCCACTGCACCTGGCCAATTTTTGTAGTTTTTAGTAGAGATGGGGTTTCACCATGTTGGTCAGGTTGGTCTCAAACTCCCAACCTCAGGTGATCCACCTGCCTCAGCCTCTCAAAGTGCCGGGATTACAGGCGTGAGCCACTGTGCTCGGCCCTGGGATGGCTGTTTCACATGGTGAATTTCCCATGCAGAGAAGAGTTTTTTTGGGAGTGTGTGTACTCTTTGTAGGGATCAACTTAAGGCATCTTTCTATAGCACACTCCTAGCTTAGGAGATAATTTAAAAATTAGATACTTTTCTAAAATGCTCTGTGAATTGAATATTGTCCAACTTTCCCCCAAAACACTTAGTCCTAGGCATACTGAGAGTTTAAATCATCCTGGAGTACAGACTGGAAGCTTGTGTGTATGTGTGTGCATGAGCACACACACACACACACACACACCCCTAATCATTATATCCAAAAATAGGTAGTTCCCAGAGCTGTCCTGGGTCTTAGCTTTTCAGAAGATCGTCCTACAGATGCTCCCTTAGTTGTGACCCGTGTATATCTTTTCAATGACTTATTTGTATTTTTTATTTTTTTTTGAGACGGAGTCTTTTTTTTGAGACGGAGTCTGTCTTTTTTTTTGAATCTGTCTTTTTTTTGAGACAGAGACTCCAGTCTCTGTCGCCCAGGCTGGAGTGAAGCGGTGCGATCTCGGCTCACTGCAAGCTCCACCTCCCGGGTTCACGCCATTCTCCTGCCTCAGCCTCCCGAGCAGCTGGGACTACAGGCGCCCGCCACCACGCCCGGCTAATTTTTTGTATTTTTAGTAGAGATGGGGTTTCACTATGTTGGCCAGGCTGGTCTCGAATTCCTGACCTCAGGTGATCTGCCCACCTCGGCCTCCCAAAGTGCTGGGATTACAGGCGTGAGCCACCGCGCCCGGCCTCAGTGACTTATTTTAACGTAATCTACCTTTAGTTTCTTCTTGCCTTTGTCTTTTCTTTTCTGAGACAACGTTTTGCTCTGCTGCACTGTGTGGCCGTGTTGCCGAGGTTCTCAAACTCCTGGCTTCAAACGATCCTCCTGTCTTGGCCTCACAAAGTACCCGGATTGCAGGCGTGAGCCACTGTGCACAGCCCACTTGTCTTATTCAAGAGTTATTTTAGTTGTAGAGATGATACGCATGTAAACTGCTTCATGATGCCCAGTGTTGCATTATTGGAACGCTAAGCATGTGGGAGTTATTTATATCCTGCTCAAGGTACGATTTTTCACACGTCTGCAGTTCAAATAATTGTAACCTCTGGCATAAATGGGTTAAGGTTTTAGGGGTATATCATGAAACTTGAGCTAAATAGTGTCATGCTTCTCTTGTTGGTGGGACCGAGGTCTGTAATGCCACCAAGGACTATTGGTGACAAATCTCTAGCCCCCTGTGGTCTCTTATGTCATATGTTTGGGGCGTATTTCTTTTCTCATTCCTCAGTTCCTCCTTTGGGAGGCCAAGGTGGGAGGATTGTTTGAGGCCAGGAGTTTGAGACCAGCCTGGGCAACATAGCAAGCCAGTGTCTCCACAATCACCACCCCTCATGTTCACATACACAGGCTTGCATGCTGCAGCCACGTTAGAGCCAAGTTTGCTATCATTAACCCTGGGGTTCACTCTGGCATTCTCTTAGTTCTACTGAAGGTTTGATTTGCCACTATTTTTTATTTATTTATTTGGAGGCAGAGTCTCGCTCTGTCACCCGGGCTGCAGTACAGTGGTGCGGTATTGGCTCACTGCAACATCTGCCTCCCAGGTTCAAAGCGATTCTCCTGTCTCAGCCTCCTGAGTAGCTGGTATTACAGTTGTCTGCCACCATGCCCAGCTAATTTTTGTATTTTTAGTAGAGACGGGGTTTCACTATGTTGGCCAGGCTGGTCTCGAATTCCTGACCTCAGGTGATCTGCCCGCCTCGGCCTCCCAAAGTGCTGGAATTATAGGCGTGAGTCACCGTGCACCAGCCTGATTATCTATTTTTTAAATTTATTTTTTAAAGGCATGTTTTACTCTGTTACCAGGCTGGAGTGCAGTAGGGCAATCTCTAGCTCGTTGCAACCTCCGCCTCCTGGGCTCAAGTGATCCTCTTGCCTCCGCCTCCCGAGTAGCTGGGACTATAGGCGTGCACCACCATTCCTGGCTAACTTTTTCTATTTTTGGTAGAGACAGGGTTTCACCGTGTTGCCCAGGCTGGCCTTGAACTGCGGAGCTCAAGCAATCTGCCTGCCTTGGCCTCCCAAAGTGCTGGGACTACAGGTGCGAGACACCGTGCCTGGCCATAATCTTTTTTTTCTTAGACTTATAAGGATCCCCATTGTGTGGGTCTAAATTTCTTTTTAGAAAACTTTTCTGACTGGGTGCTGTGGCTCACATCTGTAATCCCATGGCTTTGGGAGGCCGAGGTGGATGGATCACTTGAGGCCAGAAGTTCGAGACCAGCCTGGCTAACATGTCGAAACCCCATCTCTACTGTAAATACAAAACTTAGCCAAGCGTGGTGGTGCACACCTGTAATCACAGTTACTCAGGAGCCTGAGGCATGAGAATTGCTTGAACTTGGGAGCTGGAGGTTGCAGAGAGCCAAGATGGCACCACTGTACCCCAGCCTGGGCAACAGAGCAAGACCCTGTCCCCCAGAAAATCCCAAAAACGTTTCCTGCTTTGAGTGTTTGAAAACAGATATTCAGGCATCCTGGGTAGTTGAGAATGAATTTCTGGGAACATTTGTGTTCTCTGATCCCTCCAGGTTGAAGACCTATGAAACTAATTTGGAAATCAAGAAGCTGTTGGAGGAAGTGAAAGAAAAGAATCCCAAGCTGACTATTGATTGCAATGCTTCCGGGGCAACGGCACCTCCGTGCTGTGACTTTTTTTGCTGAGCAGCCTGGGATCGCTCTACGAATTACACAGGAAGCGGGATTCGGGTCTCTAAGATGTCTTATGAATGCAGGTCAGAGGGTCACATGTTAACACTAGAGTCTGTCGAGAGGTAGGATTTGACACTGGTTTTCTCACTATTTTTGGGAGATTCTGCACGAGTCACGCACCCCCTTCACATGACGCTATGTACTTTCTCACAGGGATAATAAAGTTAGAGCACTCTCGTTGCAGCTGCGTTTATTGACATGCTCAGGAGCAAACCTGCAATAAACATGGTACTCTGTGCTTTGTCTAGGAGGAAGTATTGCTAAGAAGTTCAGGGATGATTCGGTTGATTCTTCTATTTCTTTTCTTCCCTAACTCAGGCGCCATGTGGTCTACTATCTGCCAGGTGCATCTATGTGATCAGTGTGTCTTTGTGACTTATGTGATCATAACTTATGTGATCAACCCACGCATTGACAAACGGGCCAGATAGTTCATATGCTTGGCACTGTGGGCCCCGCGGTCTCTCATCAGCTCTCAGCTGTGCCTTTGGACATGGAAGCAGCGCAGGGCCTGGCTGGCACCTGCGGAGGCTTCCCAGAAACAGCTCGTGGGCCATGGGCAGCCAGCCCTGTTCTAATCTATCCTGTTACTCACAAAGCACAAGCTTACAGTCACTGTTGCCTTTAATTCAGAAGATGGCCCTGCCTCACGCTGGTTCTGCTCGGCTCCCACGGGCCGCCTCCTACTCTCTGTGTGTGTGTGTATGTGTCTCTCTCTCTCTCTGTCTCTGTGTGTCTCTCTTTGTTTCTCTGTGTCTGTCTTTTTGTCTCTCTGTCTCTGTGTCTGTTTCTGTGTGTGTGTCTCTGTGTCTGTCTGTGTTTCTCTGTGTGTGTCTCTGTCGCTGGGCGTTTCTATCTCTGTCTTTGTATGTGTCTCTCTGTTCTTTCGTTTTTTTTTTTTGTTTTTTTTTTTGAGACGGAGTTTCACTCTTGTCGCCCATGCTGGAGTGCAATGGCGTGATCTCAGCTCACTGCAACCGCGCCTCCCAGGTTCAAGTGATTCTCCTGCCTCAGCCTTCCGAGTAGCCGGAATTACAGCCCTGTGCCACCATGCCTGGCTAATTTTTTGTATTCTTACTAGAGACGGGGTTTCACAATGTTGGCCAGGCTGTTCTCGGACTCCTGACCTCAGGTGATCTACCCGCCTCAGCCTCCCAGAGTGGTGGGATTACAGGCGTGAGCCACCGAGCCCAGCCTGTCTGTCTGTTTCTGTGTGAGTCTGTGTGGCTGTCTCTGGGAGTCTCTGTGTATGTCTCTGTCTCTCTCGCCTCCCCGTTTCTCTCGGCTTCCCATTGCCATGGCAAACACAGCTTTTCCACACCCTGTATTTGGTCATTCATAGAAAATGCATAGAAGTCACTCCGCAATTTTCCTTAAGAATGAAAAGTTGTCACCATGATGTTAGCACTGGCTTCCAGGCGCTGCCAAAAGGGACTGACCCCTCTCCTCACTTGGCTCTCCACGCTTGCGGTAGGTGATGAGACTATTTTAATAAGAGCAGCCAGGCGCTGTGGCTCACACCTGTAATCCCAGCACTTTGGGAGGCCGAGGCGGGCGGATCACCTGAGGTCAGGAGTTCGAGACCAGCCTCAACATGGAGAAACCCCGTCTCTACTAAAAATACAAAATTAGCCGGGTGGGGTGGTGTATGCCTGTAATCCCAGCTACTCGGGAGGCTGAGGCAGGAGAATCGCTTGAACCCGGGAGGCGGAGTTTGCGGTGAGCTGAGATTGTGCCACTGCACTCCAGCCTGGGCAATAAGAGCAAAACTCTTGTCTCGAAAAAAAAAAAATAAGAGCATTGATATGGGGAAAGTTGTCATGGTCCCAGGCACAAAAACACGGGCATATGGCTAATGCTTTAGGTTGAAAGCTTGTATGACAAAGTTTTCTTTTCTTTTTTTTTTTTTTTTTTTTTTTGAGATGGAGTCTTGCCTCTGTCGCCCAGGCTGGAGTGCAGTGGTGCGATCTTGGCTCACTACAACCTCTGCCTCCTGGGTTCAAGTGAGTCTTCTGTCCCAGCCTCCGGAGTAGCTGAGACTAGAGGTGTGCGTCACCATGCCTGGCTAATTTTTGTATTTTTAGTAAAGACGAGGTTTCACCATGTTAGCCAGGCTGGTCTTGAACTCCTGACCTCAGGTGATCTGCCCGCCTTGGCCTCCCAAAGTGCTGGGATGACAGGCGTGAGCCACTGTGCCTGGCCTGACAAAGTTCTTTTTACTAACCCAAACCTGGAGGTTGAGTGGCTTCAGCACTGAATGATCCCATGAAGGCCCTCATTTATCTTGCTGTTGAGCATTGCTGTCTTTCGTGAGCCCTTGTCAAGATAAGTCTTCTCAAATGCTCGAGATCACTGTGGTGTTTAAGGCTACAGTCAGCTGGTAGTAATGCAGGCTGTGGGTGGTAACAGTGTTTAGCGGGATACAGCTCACACCGATGGGAAGGGTGGTAGAGACAGCGTGAATAAAGGAAGTGGTCAGGTGATGAGAGGTAGGGCTGAGTCAACATTTAGGGTTCTACATGCACATGAAGTTCCCGTGTAGAATTTGCTAAAAATAAAGACACAAAGATAGTAGGTAGAGGCTGGGAGTGAAAACATCTGGGTCGGACTCTGCTGCATATTTAATTGAAGTTTTTTTCCCCTAAATATTTTATCTACTTAAAAATTTTGATTTTGTTTAAGATAGTAGTCTTTTTTTTGGTGGGGTGGTGGGGCGGACAGAGTCTCACTTGGTTGCCTAGGCTGGAGTGCAGTGGCGTGATTTCACCATGTTGGCCAGGCTAGTCTCAAACTCCTGACCTCAGGTGAGCCACCCGCCTCGGCCTCCCAAAGTGCTGGCATGACAGGCGTGAGCCACCGTGCCCAGCCAAGATGGTGGTGGTGCTGTGTTGCCCACAGCCGGGTTGGAGTGCAATGGTGCGATCTTAGCTCACTGCAGCCTTAAACTCAAGGAATCCTCCCACCTGAGCCTCCTGAGCTGGGATTACAGGTGCATGCCAAACATGCTTGGCTAATTTTAAAATATTTTATAGAGATGGAGTCTTGCTGTATTGACCAGGCTTGTCTTGAACTGCTGGCCTCCAGTTATCCCCTTGCCTTCGCTTCCCAAAGTGCTGGGATTACACGCGTGAGCTGCCACACTGGGCTCTTACCCACTTACCAGTAATAAACACAGAACTCCTAAAGTGCTGTGATTACGGCGCCTGACCAGCCTTAATTACCTCTGAAAAGCCCTGTGTCCAAATAGAGTCACATCTGGGGTAGGGCTTGTACATGACGTTTGGTGGGACCAATTCAGTCCGTAGCAAGGACTGTCCTGTGTATCACGTGATGTATAGCAGCACCCCTGGACTTGGATGAGCCTGAGCCTGCCCCCACTGCAACTCGTGACAACCAAAAAACCTCTCGGGATGTGGCCAGATACCCCCATGGGGACAAAATCACCCCCAGTTAAGAATGGCTGGCTCAGCCATTCACAATTGCAAAGATGTGGAACCAACCGAAGTGCCCATTGAATAATGAGTGGATTGTGGGCGGCAAGGCACCCAGGCACCGAGGCAAGAGACAGAGGACACGAGCTGTTCCAGTATAATAAAATATAAAACAAGAATTGTTATACCAGATATAGATCTTAGATATGATTATATATGAGTATCATTAATCATTAGCCGGTAGCAATTACTTTTTATTCCAATATTATAATAATCCTCACTCTATAATCATAGCCTAGGAAAAACCAGGCCATACAGAGATAGGAGCTGAGGGGACATAGTGAGGTGTGACCAGAAGACAAGAGTGCGAGCCTTCTGTTATGCCCGGACAGGGCCACCAGAGGGCTCCTTGGTCTAGCGGTGACGCCAGCGTCTGGGAAGACACCCGTCACCAAGCGGATCATGGTCCAGCGGTAGCAAAAGGTGTCAATTAACAACACCCGCTACTTAGCAGACCGGGAAAGGGGCAGCGGGTGGGGGGGGGGGTCTCCCTTTCCCCGGGGGAGTTTAGAGAAGACTCTGCTCCTCCACCTCTTGTGGAGGGCCTGACATCAGTCAGGCTCGCCCGCAGTTATCCGGAGGCCTAACCGTCTCCCTGTGATGCTGTGCTTCGGTGGTCACGCTCCTAGTCCGCCTTCATGTTCCATCCTGTACACCTGGCTCTGCCTTCTAGATAGCAGTAGTAAATTAGGGAAAGTACTAATAGTCCCTGATATGCAGAAATAATGGCGTAAGCTGTCTTTCTCTCTGTCTCCTCTCCCTCTCTGCCTCGGCTGCCAGGCAGGGAAGGGCCCCCTGTCCAGTGGACACGTGACCCACGTGACCTTACCTATCATTGGAGGTGACTCACACTCTTTACCCTGCCCCTTCTGCCTTGTATCCAATAAATAACAGCGCAGCCAGACATTCGGGGCCACTACCGGTCTCCGCGCATTGGTGGTAGTGGTCCCCCGGGCCCAGCTGCCTTTTCTCTTGTCTCTTTGTCTTGTGTCTTTATTTCTACACTCTCTCGTCGCCGCACACAGGGAGAGACCCACCGACCCTGTGGGGCTGGTCCCTACAGTGGATAAAGAAAACGTGGTGTCTATGTACCATGGAATACTATTCAGCCATTAGAAGGAATGAAATAATGTCATTTCCAGCAATTTGGATGGAGCTGGAGGCCATTATTCTAACAGGAGTAGAATCCATATGTTCTCACTTTTTTTTTTTTTTTTTAAGACAGTTTTGCTCTTGTTGCCCAGGCTAGAGTGCAATGGTGTGATCTTGGCTCACCGCAACCTCCGCCTCCTGGGTTCAAGCGATTCTCCAACCTCAGCCTCCCTAGTAGCTGGGATTATAGGCACGTGCCACCACACCCAGCTATGTATTTTTCTATTTTTAGTAGAGATGGGGTTTCACCATGTTGGCCAGACTGGTCTTGAACTCCTGGCCTCAGGCGATACACCTGCCTCAGCACCCCCAAAGTGATGGGATTACAGGCGTGAGCCACCGCCACCGTGCCTGGCTCTGTATGTTCTCAGTGGGAGCTAAGCTGTTGGTACACAAAGGCAGAGTGATGTAATGGGCTTCAGAGTCTCAGAAGGGGGAGGGCAGAAGGGAGGCCACAGATAAAAAACTACACATTAGGCCAGTGTGGTCGCTCACGCCTGTAATCTCATCACTTTGGGAGACCCAGGCGGGCCGATCACTTGAGGCCAGGAGTTCGAGACCATCCTGACCAAGATGGTGAAACCCTGTCTTTACTTACTAAAAGTACAAAAAATTAGCCAGGCATGGTAGTGGGTGTCTGTAATGCCAGCACTTTGGGAGGCCAAGGTGGGAGAATCGCTTGAACCCGGGAGGCGGAGGTTGTTGCAGTGAGCTGAGGCCACGACACTGCACTCCAGCCTGGGTAACAGAGCGAGACTTGGTCTCTAAATAAATAAAATAAAGGGCTCAGACTCTATCTCAAAAAATAAATGAATAAGGCCGGGTGCGGTGGCTTACACCTGTAATCCCAGCACTTTGAGAGGCCGAGGCGGGAGGATCACGAGGTCAGATCGAGACCATCCTGGCTAACATGGTGAAACCCCGTCTCTACTAAAAATACAAAAAATTAGCCGGGCTAGGTGGCGGGCGCCTGTAGTCCCAGGAGAATGGTGTGATCCCGGGAGGCGGAGCTTGCAGTGAGCAGAGATCGCGCCACTGCAGTCCAGCCTGGGCGACAGAGCAAGACTCTGTCTCAAGAAAAATAAATGAATAAAAACAATAAGAAAGAAAAATAGCCACGTCTTACGTAGGCTGAGACTGGAGAGTTTCCGTGGACTCGTAACCCTGCCTTTGTCCCTGCACTGAAGGGTGTAAGGTGGTTGCTTTCTGCATGAGCCAGTGTTTCTCAGCCTTGGTGCTGCTGCCATCTGGGGCTGCCCTGGGCATTGTAGGAAGCTGAGCAGCACCCCTGGACCCTACCTACCAGATGCCAGTAGAACCCCTCCCCAAGTCATGACAATTAAAAATTACCATGGGCATTGCCAAATGTCCCCTGGAGTGGAGAGCAAAATCACCCAGCAGAGAACTGCTAGGCTAGAGAGGTGCAGGATCCTAGGCTGGGTGCGGGGGCCTGTAATCCTCGCACTTTGGGAGGCCAAGGTGGGCGGATCACATGAGGTCGGGAGTTCAAGACCAACCTGGCTAACATGGTAAAACCCCCATCTCCACTAAAAATACAAAAATTAGCCAGGCGTGGCGGCACATGCCTGTAGTCCCAGCTCCTTGGGGGGCTGAGGCAGGAGAATCGCTAGACCCCAGCAGGCAGAGGTTGCAGTGAGCCAAGATGGCACCACTGCATTCCATCCTGGGCGACAGAGCAAGACTGTAGTTTTTTTGTTTTTGTTTTTGTTTTTTTTTGAGGAGTCACAGTCTGTCACTCAGGCTGGAGTGCAGTGGCGCAATCTCGACTCACTGCAACCTCTGCCTCCCGGGTTTGAACGATTCTCCTGCCTCAGCCTCCCGAGTAGCTGGGATTGGCTCTGGTGGTGGAGGTGCCTGCAAACCTGTTGGTACTGTAACCGTCAGAAAACGAGTAGCAAGAAGTGTCCGAGAAAGCCAGAGAAGTGAGTCCTTCGAGGAGGAAGTGGTCAACGTGTCAAATACAACTGTGGGGGAGCAATAATGAGAAGGGCTGAAAAGGGTCACTGCATGTTCCAGGAAGGAAGCTCATTAGTGTTGGTCACACAGACAGCTTCAGAGGAAGTGTGGGGAGAGAAGCCAGTTTCTAGCGGGTGGGGAGCACAGGTGAGAAGTCAGAACAAAGGCCACCAGTGTGGGTTATGTCTTAGGGAGCGTGGGTCTTCTGGCTGGGCGCGGTGGCTCAGTAATCCCAGCGACTCTGGAGGCTGAGGCAGGAGAATCGCTTGAACCCGGAAAGCGGAGGTTGCAGTGATCCGAGATTGCAGCACTGCACTCCAGCCTGGGTGTGCAGAGCGAGACTCAAAAAAAAAAAAAAAAAAAAAAAAATAGAACAGTTGATCTCCTAGAAGTGAGAGTAGGTGGAGGTTATCAGGGGCTGGGGGTGGTAGGAGAGGAAGATGTTGGTCAAAAAGCACAAGTAGCTGGGTGTGGTGGCTCACGTCTGTAATCCCAGCACTTTGGGAGGCCAAGGCGGGTGGATCACCTGAGACCAGGAGTTTGAGACCAACATGGAGAAACCCCGTCTCTACTAAAAATACAAAAATTAGCCGGGCGTGGTGGCACGCACTTGTAGTCCCAGCTACTCGGGAGGCTGAGGCAGGAGAATCGCTTGAACCCGGGAGGCGGAGGTTGCAGAGTCAAGATCGCGCCACTGCACTCCAGCCTGGGTGACAGAGCAGGACTTCGTCTCAAAAAAAAAAAAAAAAAAAAAGCACAATATTCAGTTATAAGATGAGTTAGTTCTGGGGGTCTGATATATGGGATGGCGATTATGGTTAACACAAGCAGCTTTTAAATGTCTTTACCCCTGCTCCCCGTTACCAGCCAAAGCTGTGAAGTTCCAGGCCCTTGGTGTTTCGAACAAAGAATTGGGTGTGATACACACACATAGCAAAGCGGCATAAGTTTATTAAGCATAGGATTACACTCTTGGAGAGGGGAGAGCAGGCGGACCTCTGCGAAATGAGATCGGCATCAGCTCGCTGTACTTTGGGTCTTTTTTTTTTTTTTTCTTATTAGGAATATACAACCATTTATTCACTGTTCACTAGTATTTACAATAAAGTGAACAAAATACAGTTCAATAACATTCAGATTACCACAAAGTTGTGTTTCCTGGCTTTTACTGAACCAGTAAAGCAGATACTGAAAAGACTGAGCCTATGTGGTTTTTTTTTTTTTTTTTTTGAGATGGAGTCTCGCTCTGTCGCCCAGGCTGGAGTGCAGTGGCACGATTTTGGCTCACCGCAACCTCCGCCTCCCAGGTTCAAGCGATTCTCCTGCCTCAGCCTTCTGAGTAGCTAGGATTACAGGTGCCTACATGTAAGGAATGAGTTGGGGTAAAGAAAAAATACGCGAGTCAGCAGTTTATTTATTTTGAGAGGGAGTCTCGCTCTGTTACCAGGCTGGAGTGCAGTGGTGCAATCTCGGCTTACCACAACCTCTGCCTCCCGGGTTCAAGTGATTCTGCTGCCTCAGCCTCCCGAGTAGCTGAGATTACGGGTGCAAGCCACTGCGCCTGGCTAATATTTTGTATTTTTTAGTAGAGATGGGGTTTTACCGTGTTGGCCAGGCTGCTATTTAATGGAAAAATCAGATTTAGAGAATAAATTTGACCGGCATGAGGCACCAGAATAATGGGAGGGCGTGAGGACCCATGCGATGAGTATATAAATGGGTTGATAAGTAGAAGTTCTCAGGGAGGAAAGCGATGGTGGTGTCCAGACAGCATTTCAAGACCCCTAGTGAGAAGTCTCAAGTTGCAGGCTGTGCCACAGCCCCGTATATACATTCACTCATTTGATATATATTTCCCGAGAACCCCGTTATAGTTGCGGGAGCTGTGAATGCAGCCACTAAATCTGACATAGATCAATTCACACGAGTTCACGGTAGAGGCAGGAAAATGGACATGCATGCCGAATCAGGGTTCAAGTGCTGTTACAGGGAATTAACAGGTGCTTTGGGATGAGGAAAGTGTTGTCTTGGCTGGGCGCAGTGGCTCACGCCTGTAATCCTAGCACTTTGAGAGGCCAAGGCGGGGGGATCACCTGAACTCAGGAGTTTGAGACCACCCAGGGCAACATGATGAAACCCTACCTCTACTAAAGATGCAAAAAAAATTAACCGGGTGTGGTGGCGCGCGCCTCTAGTCCCAGCTACTTGGGAGGCTGAGGAAGGAGAATCGCTTGAGCCCCAGAGGCGAAGGTTGCAGTGAGCTGAGATTGTGCCACTGCACGCCAGCTTGGGCTACAGAGTGAGACTGTCTCAAAAAAAAAAAAAAAAGTGCTATCTTTGTGAAGTCGGAGTTGTGGAAACTCTTGGAGGAAATGATATCTCTGCAGAGCCCTGAAGAACAAGGCAAGGTGTGGATAAAGAAGCAAAGATGGTGGCCGGGTACGGTGACTCACACCTGTAATTCCAGCACTTTGGGAGGCCGAGGCTGGTGGATCACCTGAGGTCAGGAGTTCAAGACCAGTCTGGCCAACATTGTGAAACCCCATTTCTACTAAAAATACAAAAATTAGCCGGGCGTGGTGGTGCATGCCTATAATCCCAGCTATTCAGGAGGCTGAGGCAGGAGAATCATTTGAACCCTGGAGGTGGAGGTGGCAGTGAGCCAAGATTGCACCACTGCATTCCAGCCTGGGTGACAAAAGTGAAACTCGGGGGAAGGGATAGCATTAGGAGATATACCTAATGTTAAATGACGAGTTAGTGGGTGCAGCACACCAACATGGCACATGTATACATATGTAACTAACCTGCACGTTGTGCACATGTACCCTAAAACTTACATTAAAAAAAAAAAAAGTGAAATTCTGTCCCAACAAAACAAACAAAAAAAAAGAAAAAAAAAAAAAAGGAAGAGAAGATGGAATAATTCTGTGGTTAGAAGGAATTGGGGTATGGTTGGGATGCAGCCAGGAGTCACTTATTTTTTTTTTTTCTTTTTTTTTTTGAGACAGAATCTTGCTCTGTCACGTAGGCTGGAGTGCAGTGGTGCGATCTTGGCTCCCTGCAGCCTCCGCCTCCCGGGTTCAAGCTATTCTCCTGCCTCAGCCTCCTGAGTAGCTGGGATTACAAGCACACGCCACCATACCTGGCTAATTTTTATATTTTTAGTAGAGATGTGGTTTCACCATGTTGGCCAGGCTGCTCTCGAACTCCTGACCTCAGGTGATCCTCCCACCTTGGCCTCCCAAAGTGCTGGGATTACAGGCATGAGCCACCGTGCCTGGCCGAGTTTTTGTATTTTTAGTAGAGATGGGGTTTCATCATGTTGGCCAGGCTGGTCTCGAACTCCTGACCTCAGGTGATCTGCCCGCCTCAGCCTCCCAAAGTGTTGGGATTACAGGTGTGAGCCACCGTGCCTGGCAGGATTCACTTATAAAGCTGCTTCTCTACAACTGGTTGTTGCCACAATGCCTCCTGAACCATTTGATACAGACCTATTCTATATTGGTTATTAACTATTTTGAATGGCTTCCTGCAGAGAAAGGAAAGAAAAAAAGACCAAAGTAGGAAAAAAATATTTCCATGGCCATCCTGTTAAAGAAGGAGAGATCTTTTCAGAAAAGACCAGAGTGGTTAAAAGTATGGTTTGCAGTAAGTGGTACAAAAATAGTTAGAGCCTAGAAGAGACCATAGGATTTGTCTACAGAAGAAATTCAGTGGCTGGGCGCAGCGGCTTATGCCTGTAATCCCAGCCCTTTGGGAGGCCAAGGCGGGGAGATCACTTGAGGTCAGGAGTTCGAGACCAGCCAACAGGGAGAAACCCCGTCTCCACTAAAAATACAAAATTAGCTGGGGTGGTGGCACATGCCTGTAATCCCAGCTACTCAGGAGGCTGAGGCAGGAGAATCACTTGAACCCGAGGGATGGAGAGCTAGAGGTTGCAGTGAGCCAAGATCGCGCCATTGCACTCCAGCCTGGGCAACAAGAGAAAACTCTGTCTCAAAAAAAAAAAAAAAGAAATTTAGCATGTAGTTCTCCCACCCTCTGCATCGTCCGGGATGCTCTGACAAATGGAATGCCAGTGTCCCTCTTTCCCTGCAGTGACTCCCTCCTCCGTGGGTCCAACACAGAGCTCACGCCGCCCAGGCTCAACACCAGCTTTCAGATCCACCCATGGCCACTGTGTCTCATGGTCATTCTTCAAAGAGTCTGTGTGTTCAGCCTTCTCCTGCCTTCCCAAGTGGAAGCTCTGCTGGCTCGCTCTCTAGTCCTCTTCCTGCTGAGCCAGTCTTCAACCAGGAACCACACTAGAGCCACCAGGACTAGAAAGGCCAGGCCCATCCGAAGGAGATTCTGGGCAGTGTGATCCCAGAGGGCATGGTCTGTAGGCAGGAGAACAGGGTGATCGCTGACAGGGATGTAAGGACACCCTCTTTTTTTTTTTTTTTTTTTTTTTTTTTTTTTTTTTTTTTGAGACAGAGCCTCAGTCTTGTCGCCCAGGCTGGAGTGCAATGGCACGATCTCGGCTCACTGCAACCTCCACTTCCTGGGTTCAAGCTATTCTCCTGTCTCAGCCTCCCAAGTAGCTGGGACTACAGGCACACGCCACCACGCCTGGCTAATTTTTTTGTATTTTTAGTAGAGATGGGATTTCGCCATGTTGGCCAGACTGGTCTTGAACTCCCGACCTCAGATGATCTGCCCGCCTCGGCCTCCCAAAGGGCTGAGATTACAGGTGTGAGCTACTGCGCCTGGCCAAGGACACCCTCTTGTTCCCATTTAGATTCCCTTCCTAGGTCTACTCTATGCCCAGCCCCTTCCTTCAGAGCCTATGGCCCCAGCTGTCTACTTACCTTTCTGGAGTCCCGTCTCTGTGGTTAAAAGGTAGGTGCCCCAAGTGTCTGCTGATGATAAGGGAAGTGAAGAAAAGAGGATGGTTTTGACCTCCTCCACCCCAGCACTCCTTCCCTTGGGTCTACCCCATGACGTTCTGCAGCTTTACAAGGTCCCACCTCACCCTGCGGGTCCCAGGAGCTTCATCCAGCAGGTAAAGTGGAAGGGTCCACAGATGGACGAACCTGACGAGGAATTCCATTCTAGCACTTGTGAGCATGTGTCTTTGCACCAGTCATGTCTTCTATTTTTTTTTTTTTTGAGATAGAGTCTCACTGTGTTCCAGCCTCTGGAGTAGCTGGGACTACAGGCACACACCACATACCCAGGTAATTTTTTTCATATTTTTAGTAGAAACGGGGTTTTGCCATGTTGGCCAGGCTGGTCTTGAACTCCCAACCTCAGATGACCTGCCTGCTTCGGCCTCCCAAAGGGCTGGGATGACAGGCCTCTGAGGCTGGAGTACAGTGGTGTGATCTCAGCTCACTGCAACCTCCGCCTCCCGAGTTCAAGCAATCCTCTTGCTTCAGCCCCGAGTAGCTGTAATTACTGGCGTGCGCCACCACACCCAACTCATGTTTGTATTTTTAGTAGAGATGGGGTTTCACTGTGTTGGCCAGGCTGGTCTTGAACTCCTGACCTCAAGTGATCCAGCCGCCCCTGCCTTCCAAAGTGCTGGGATTACATGCGGGAGCCACCCGGCCCAGCCCGTCTTCTATTTAAGCCTCATTTTCCTCATTAAGTCATCATTACCTCTTTCTCCTCACACATACACACATAGTGAAATTCAAAGTCTCACTATTTTTTTTTCTTTTTCTTTTTCTTTTTTTTTTTTTTTGAGACGGAGTCTCACTCTGTCGCTCAGGCTGGAGTGCAGTGGCGCGATCTCAGCTCACTGCAAGCTCCGTCTCCCGGGTTCACGCCATTCTCCTGCCTCAGCCTCTTGTGTAGCTGGGACTACAGGCGCCCGCCACCACGCCCGGATAATTTTTGTATTTTTTTTTAGTAGAGACAGGGTTTCACCGTGTTAGCCAGGATGGTCTTGATCTCCTGACCTCATGACCCACCTGCCTCGGTTTCCCAAAGTGCTGGGATTACAGGCGTGAGCCACCGCGCCGGGCCTCACTCCTGTAATCCTAGCCGTGCGCCCCAGGCCCATCCCACCGTCATCTTCCAAACATCATTTTCAACCCTCCTGGCCTCATAGTTATTATTGTATTACCCCAGTTATCTTCCTGCCCCAGGGCACAGGCAGATGCCATTTCATTCTCTCCAGAGCCTCCTTTCTCCTGACAGCCACATGATTAACTCAAGTCTGAACGCATTTGCTCAGATGCCTTCTTTCTCTGTGAGGTCCATCTGGACAAACCTATTTAATATTGCTAGCTGCCATTTCAATCACTGTAAGTCTGTTCTACTTTGTCTTTTCCTTCCATAGCATCATTCCCTCCTGTGTGCTATCCTGACGTTGACCGATGGTGTGTCTCCTCCTGCTAGAATCTAAGTGCTGCAGAGTCAAGATATCTGCCTGGCTGACTGTTACAGTGTAGTTCACTGTGTATACTATGCACTTGATGAATATATATATATAATAGTTTTGTTTTTGTTTTTCTGTGAGATGGAGTCTCGCTGTGTCGTGCAGTGGAGTGGAATGCAGTGGCGCGATCTCAGCTCACTGCAACCTCTGCATCCCAGGTTCAACAATTCTCCTGCCTCAGCCTCCTGAGTAGCTGGGATTACAGGCGAGCACCACCAGGCCCGGCTAATTTTTGTATTTTTAGTAGAGATGGGGTTTCACCATGTTGGTCAGGCTGGTCTCGAATTCCTGACCTTGTGATCCAACCACCTTGGCCTCCCGAAGTGTTGGGATTACAGGTGTGAGCCATGATGCCCAGCCTAAGTTTTGTATTTTTAGTAGAGACAGGGTTTCGCCATGTTGGCCAGGCTGGTCTCAAACTCCTGACCTCAAATGATGCACCATCTCGGCCTCCCAAAGTGCTGGGATTACAGGCGTGAGCCACCACGCCTGGCCTCGATGAATATTTTGAATGAATGCCACGTTTTTAGTGTCACTGGGAGGCTCTGATTGCTCGTCTGAGCTTAGAAGGACCAGTTACTCACCAGGAAAGGTGGGGTCTTCAGGTGCAAGGCTGGTGTTCTCAATGTCGCCTGGAAAAGGAGATAAAGAAAAAAAAGTAAGGGTTTTTGGTTTCCTCCGGTCTTGCCATTCTTTTTTTTTTTTTTTTTTTTTTTGAGATGGAGTCTTGCTCTGTCGCCCAGGTTGCAGTGCGGTGGTATGATCTCGGTTCACTACAACCCCCGCCTCCCGGGTTCAAGCGATTCTCCTGCCTCAGCCTCCTGAGTAGCTGGGACTACAGGTGTCCGCCACTGCGTCTGGCTAATTTCTGTATTTTTAGTAGAGACGGGGTTTCACCGTCTTGGCCAGGCTGGTCTCGAACTCCTGACCTTGTGATCCACCCGCCTTACCATTCCTTTCTCTGCTCCCTCCTCCTTCCTGCTTCTGGTGTTCTTCCTCACATGACCAACCAGGCACCCAGGAAGTGGACGTCCCTTGGACACCCTCCCCATCACTCTCTGGGGATCCCTCAGGGCTCCAGGTAGGACATGGCGGCGAAGGGTGTGGGGAATTGAGCATTTCCTCACCTGTGACCAGGAGCTTCACTGGCTCACTGGGGAAAGACCAGGCATGGTTGTTATAGGAGCCAAAACATCGGTATGTCCCTCGGTGGGCTGTGGTCACAGGGCCCAGGGGGAACTCCGCCTGGACCTTCCCGTATCCGCGCTGTACGTGGCTGGATCTTCCCTCCTTGAGCAGTAAGAACATGCTTGTTGCAGTGTCTAGACGGCAGTAGAAGGTCACCTTCTCTCCCGAGATCACTTCGGGTCCAGGATGAACCGAGAGGGTGGGTGTGTCATACATTTCTATGAGAGAAGGTGGGGCCACCACACCAGAAACTCAGTGATGAGCAGCCAGCTATTTTTTTTTTTCTTTCTTTAGAGATGGAGTCTCTCTCTGTCGCCCAGGCTGGAGTGCAGTGACACGATCTTGGCTCACTGCAACCTCTGCCTCCCGGGTTCAAGCGTTTCTCCTGCCTCACCCTCCCAAGTAGCTGGGACTACAGGGGCCTGCCACCATGCCTGGCAGCCAGCTTTTTTTTTTTTTTTAATTATTATTTTGGTCAAATACACACAATAGAAGATTTACCGTCTAAAACCATTTTTAAAAATGATACAGGGTCTTGCTCTGTTTCCCAGGCTGGAGCGCCGTGGCACTATCTTTGCTTACTGAAGACTCGACCTCCTGGGTCAGGAGTTTGAGACCAGCCTGGTCAACATGGTGAAACCCCGTCTCTACTAAAAATGCAAAAATTAGCCGGGTGTGGTGGCACATGCCTGTAATCTCAACTACTTGGGAGGCTGAGGCAGGAGAATTGAGGCTGAGGCAGAGGTTGCAGTGAGCTGAGATTGTACCACTGCACTGCAGCGAGACTGTCTCAAAAAAAAAAAAAAAAAGCCCCGGCCAGCCGCCCCGTCCGGGAGGTTGGGGGGCAGCCCCCGCCCGGCCACTGCCCCGTCTGGGAGGTGGGGGGGCGCCTCTGCCCGGCCGCCCCGTCTGGGAAGTGAGGAGCCCCTCTGCCCGGCCGCCACCCCGTCTGGGAGGTGTACCCAACAGCTCATTGAGAATGGGCCATGATGACGATGGCGGTTTTGTCGAATAGAAAAAGGGGAAATGTGGGGAAAAGAAAGAGAGATCAGATTGTTACTGTGTCTGTGTAGAAAGAAGTAGACATAGGAGACTCCATTTTGTTCTGTACTAAGACAAATTCTTCTGCCTTGGGATGCTGTTAATCTATGACCTTACCCCCAACCCCGTGCTCTCTGAAACATGTGCTATGTCCACTCAGGGTTAAATGGATTAAGGGCGGTGCAAGATGTGCTTTGTTAAACAGATGCTTGAAGGCAGCATGCTCCTTAAGAGTCATCACCACTCCCTAATCTCAAGTACCCAGGGACACAAACACTGCGGAAGGCCGCAGGGACCTCTGCCTAGGAAAGCCAGAGACCTTTGTTCACATGTTTATCTGCTGACCTTCTCTCCACTATTGTCCTATGACCCTGCCAAATCCCCCTCTCCGAGAAACACCCAAGAATGATCAATAAATACTAAAAAAATTAAAAAAAAAAGAATAAATGAGTAGCTGTGTTCCCCTGCCAGAACCTCCAAACAAGGTCCAAAGACCCTGAGCAAATGAAAAGGCACAGACAAAAAATATATATATTTCAACACAAGTATATGACACAGAATATAGAAATAACTTTTCCTAATCAATCAAAATATAAGCAACCCAATTTAAAAATAGGCAAAAGATTTAAATAGACATTTCACAAAAGAAGATATTTGAATGGACATGAAATACTGTTGTGAGCTGCATAATGACATTTTGGCCAACAATGTACCACATATATGATGGTGGTCCCATAAGATTATAATGAAACTGAAAAATTCCTATTGCCTGATGACATCATAGCCTTCCTAGCACAAAGTATTGCTCATGTGTTTTTGGTGTTGCTGGTATAAACAAACCTAATTGTATAGCACATACAATTATGTATGTATATGTAACTATGTATAATACTTGATAATAATAATAAACAACCATATTGTTAAAAAAAAAAAAAGCTAATTTTTTTTTTTTTTTTTAGAAAACCACCACCTGGCTGGGTGTGATGGCTCACACCTGTAATCCCAGCACTTTGGGAGGGTGAGGCGGGCGGATCATCTGAGGTCAGGAGTTCGACACCACCCTGGCCAACATGGTGAAACCCCATCTCTACTAAAAATACAAAATGTGGCGTAGTGGTGGGTGCCTGTGATCCCAGCTACTTGGGAAGCTGAGGCTGGAGAATCACTTGAACCCAGGAGGTGGAGGTTGCAGTGACTGGAGATTGCACCACTGCACTCCAGCCTGGGTGACAAGAGCGAAACTCCGTCTCAAAACAGATAAAAAAAAAAAAAACCCACCACCTGTGATGGGTGAGGGAAGCAAAGTGTAAGCCACTGCGCCTAGCCCACAGGCATTGTTTTTGAGGACATTCCTCAGTCATACCCCTGCATACAAATATCTATCTCAGAATCTGTGTCATGGAGAAACTGACTGAGGACACATCTGCTCCTAGGACGTAGAGACACGGTCTGCAGACAACCCCTTGTAGGCAAGGATTGTGATGGGGATCACCCCTCCTTCCAGCCTCCTACCGAGACAAGCAGTGTCTGAGTGGGGCTTGGAAGAGTTCATAGATGATGCTGCATCCCGGATGCAGACTGAGATCACTCTCCAGTTAGAGAACCGGACAGTTACCTGTTACCACCAGATCCAGCAAGTTGCTGGGCTCTGACCAGAGCTCCCCAACCCGATAGATGCAGCTGTATTGCCCTGCCATGCGGGAGTTCATGTCCGGGATGTAGAATTTGACTTTGTTAATCCGCTCAGGGGGTTTTGGTCTGTCCACGGCAAAAAGGCTTCCTTCAAAGTGCAGCTGGTATTCAACAGCCCCATAATTTCCCTGGCAACAGATGGTCACTTGCTTTTCCTTTGGAACCATGAAATGGGGCTCGGCCCAGATGAACGGTTTTGGGAGAGTCTCTGGAAGGGAATCAGAGGCTGGAGTTCCAGCGGAGCCCCCTCCCCCCAACCTTAGGCTCCACCCAGCTGCTGGCCCCAAGCTCTCCTGGGAAGCCAGCACCCTGTCCCCTCTCCCCAGCCGTGCTTGGGTGGAAGGAGCTTGGCCTGAACCCGGAAGAGTGACCCTGGGCTTTGAAGGAAGGACTCACGCTGCTGGGCGCTGATCCTCTGACTCAGACACAGCCCTGGAAGACGGGAGTAATGAGACCTGTTGCCTCCCAGGCACACCGTGATCCCATTCCCCTTCCACGCCAGAACTCACCGACGCAGAGCAGGGCAGGGAGTGTGGAAGACATCGCTCAGATTCTGCCGGCCTAGTGCTGAGCAGTGGGGACTGAGCCGGGCGGGCCAGGGAGATAGATACACAGGAAGTGGTGGGTGAGCACCAGCGCCCATCACCAGAGCGCTTTCACGTTGACTGCTTTCATCAGAACGTTCACAACTCCCCTCCGCCTCTGACCATGAGCTTACAGAAAGGCCGTGGTCCCTCTGACACATCTGTGGTCTAGCCAGCAACTCTGACAATTGTCTGCTCAGCCCAAAATGCATTTCTGGGTCAACTTCTCAATTCTGCAATGTGGAGGTCGTACCCAGAGCTGACTGTGGGAAGTTGTGCCCAATCATGCCCAGAGGAAACCCCCTGAGAATCGTATAAAAACATAGGGAGTTTCACAGTGAGATACTGGAACAGGAATTAAAAGAAATTACAGAATGTGTAAACAAAAACTCAGTTGTATTTAAGAAAACCCAGTTCCCCCCGAGGAAGAGAAAGAGGTGGAGTCCTTTAAACATGAACTGCCTGTTTTTCTGTCTGTGGCTAGTGAGCCTTATCTCTCCCTTTCCCAGGCATTGTGAAGACCCTGTTTCTCTTGCCGTGCGGCTGCAAGATCACTAGACAGGATAACCTCAAGTCGTAAAACATATTTTTCTTGAAAAGTAAGGAATAATGTGATGCATGTCTCAATTGAATAACTGCCTTTGTTTCTTGCTTCTGTAATATGCTTCCCCCTGCACAGATCTCCCCCAACCCCACAAAATGCTTAAAAGGTAACCGGACTCTCTGTTCGAGCCTCAGTCTTTTTGGATGTTAATCTGACTGGGGCCGGTGCACCTAAATAATAATAATAATAATAAATCCTCCTCAACCCCTCGGTCTCTCTGATTCCTAAATTATCCCTCAACAATACCATCTCACACCAGTCAGAATGGCCATTACTGAAAAGCCAGAAATTAACAGATGCTGGTGAGATTGTGGAGCAAAGGGGACACTTATACACTGTTGGTGGGTGTAAATTAGTTCAGCCACTGTGGAAAGCAGTTTGGTTTGGAGATATTTCAGAGAACTACAAACAGAGTTACCATTCAGCCCAGCAATCCCATCGCTGGGTATATAGCCAAAGGAAAATAAATCATTCTACCAAAAAGACACATGCACTTGTATGTTCATTGCAGCAGGATTCACAATAGTGAAGACATGGAATCCACCCAGGTCCCATCAGAGGTGGACTGGATAAAGACAATGTGATATGTATACACCACAGAACGCTATACAGCCTTGAAAAATCACAAGATTATGTCCTTTGCAGCAACATGGATGCAGCTAGAGGCCATTATCCTAAGCGAGTTAACACAGAAACAGAAAACCAAATACTGGCCAGACACGGTGGCTCACGCCTGTCATCCCAGCACTTTGGGAGGCTGAGGCAGGTGGATCACCTTAGGTCGGGAGTTCGAGACCAGCCTGACCAACATGCAGAAACCCTGTCTCTACTAAAAATTCAAAATTAGCCGGGTGTGGTGGCACATGCCTGTAGTCCCAACTACTCGGGAGGCTGAGGCAGGAGAATTGCTTGAACCTGGAAGGTGAAGGTTGCAGTGAGCCGAGATGGTGCCATTGTACTCCAGCCTGGGCAACAAGAGTGAAACTCCATCTCAAAAAAAAAAAAAAAAAAGAAAAGAAAACCAAATACCACATGTTCTCACTTATAAGTGAGAGCGCTAAACATTGGGTAAGGAGGGGAGCAAGGCTTGAAAATCTACCTATTTGGTGACTAGATCATTAATGCAAGCCTCAGCATCATGCAATATACTCATAAAAAACCTGCACATGTATCTGCTGAATCTAAAAAGATAAAAATAGGGGTTTTGACGTTGGCTTCTCTGTGTACAGTATACATATGCTTGGATAAGTTAATTGGTTTCATCAGAATGGAATGATAACACTAACTTCTTCAAAGATAGTGTTATAATGTTTCAATAAAATAAAAGTGAAAAGAAAAGCTTTTCATTTAAAGAACTTAATAAGAAAAGAAACATTTCTTTTCTTTTTCTTTTTCTTTCTTTTTTTTTTTTTTTTGAGACAGAGTCTTGCTCTGTTGCCCAGGCTGTGGTGCAGTGGTGTGATCTCAGCTCACTGCAACCTCTGCCTTGTGGGTTCAAGCAATTCTCCTGCCTCAGCCACCTGAGTAGCTGGGACTACAGACACCCAACACCACGCCCAGCTCATTTTTGTACTTTTAGTAGAGACCGGTTTTTACCACGTTGGCCAGGATGGTCTCCAACTCCTCACCTCAAGTGAATCTTCCTGCCTCGGCCTCTCAAAGTGCTGGGATTACAGGTGTGAGCCACCACACCCAGCCAAGAAACATTTCTTTTAAGTAAGTAACTAACTCTCCACTTAATAAAAAAAAATTCTATGCAGAAGTTGTTAAGATCTACAGTAAGAAAAAAGAAATTCATGCATTTTATATATACACACATATATACATATATACCTTTTATATATATACACATATATACATTTATACATATATGTATACATATATACATATATGTGTATATATACTGCATAGTACCGTACATGTATATATACACATGCATATATACACATACATGTATATGCGTATATATACACATATATGTATATATACACACATGCATACATGCATATATATGTATACACACATGTATGCGTGTATACATACATATATGTATATACATACATGTATGCGTGTATACATACATATATGTATATACATACATATATGCGTGTATACATACATGTATGCGTGTATACATACATATACATATATGTATATACATACATGTATATATACATGTATGTATATATGCATATATGTATATACATACATGCATATATACATGTATGTATACATATACGTATATGTGTATATATGTATATACATATATATATACATGTAAGGTACTATGTAGTTTTCAGCATCCACTGGGGCCTTGGAATATATCCTGGTGGATACATGTGACTACTGTACAAGACTAGTTGTATCTTCTTGAGGCAAACAAATGTGCTAATTCTTTTTTTTTTCTCTTTAAGACGGAATCTCACTCTGTCCCTCAAGCTGGGGTGCAGTGGTGCAATCTCAGCTCACTGCAACCTTCACCTCCTGGGTTCAAGCAATTCTCCTGTTCTAGCCTCCCAAGTAGCTGGGATTACAGGCGTGTGCCACCACACTCGACTAATTTTTGTATTTTTAGTAGAGACAGGGTTTCCCCATGTTGGCCAGGCTAGTCTCGAACTCTTGACCTCAAGTGATCAGCCCACTTTAGCCTCCCAAAGTGCTGGGATTACAGGCGTGAGCCACCACACCCAGCCCGCCTCCTTCTTATTTACTGAAGATTCAGTACTCGGTGCTGGCGTTTCCCCTTACACAGCTGTCATAACTCTGGGTGTTTTCTTTATCCTTCCCCCTACGGAGCGCTTGGATGCCCTCTATGGAGGAGACTTATGTAGGCTGGATCCTCAGACCTCAGCCACCCTCTCAGCCATAACATAGTTACCTTCACCAAAGAAATATAAGAATATTGTCTTTTATTATTTTGAGCTTTTAATTTTGACATAATTCCAGACTTGCAAAAATAGTTTAAAGAATTTCTGGCCAGGTGCAGTGGCTCACACCTGTAATCCCAGCACTTTGGGAGGCCGAGGTGGGTGGATTGCTTGAGACGAGCCTGGGGGAAAAAAAAATGCAAAAATTAGCCAGGTGTGGTGCTGTGCGCCTATAGTCCCAGCTACTTGGGAGGCTGAGGTGAGAGGGTCATCTGAGCCCAGGGAGGTAGAAGCTGCAGTGAGCCATGATCGTGCCACTGCACTCTAGCCTGGGTGACAGAGTGTTACCCTGTCTATAAAAAAAAAAAAAATCTGTAATTTCTTCATCCAGATTTCCCCAAAGTTAGCATTTTACCACATTTGCTTCATCATTCAGCCTCTCTCCCTCTCCCTCTCTCCCCGAAGAAAGTGTGTCTAATTTGCATATGATGCCCTAAACCTCTAATCACTTCAGGTTATATTTCCCAAAACCAAGGACATTCTGTTATTAATGTTCAAGGTCAAGAAATAGCACTGATATGACACTATTGTCTGATCTATCCACTTTATTCAAATTTCACCACTTGTTTTACCAGTGACATATATTTGGTTTAGGATTTAATCCAAGATTACACAATTTATTTAATTGTCATGTCTCTCTTATTTGGAGATGGAATCTTGCTCTGTAGCCCAGGCTGGAGTGCAATGGTGTGATCTCAGCTCACTGCAACCTCCGCCTCCTGGGTTCAAGCAATTCTCCTGCCTCAGCTTCCTGAGTAGCTGGGATTAGAGGCACCCACAACCACGCCCAGCTAATTTTTGTATTTCTAGTAGAGATGGGGTTTCGTCAAGTTGGCCAGGCTGGTTTCGAACTCCTGAACTCAACTGATCCACCTGCCTCAGCCTCCCAAAGTGCTGGGATTAGAGGCATGAGCCACCACGCCCAGCCTCCTTTAAAAAATAAAACTATAGACTTTATTCTGATTTCACCAGTTTTTCCACTAGCATCCTTTCTTCGCTCCAGGAGCTCCAGTGATCCGCCTGCCTCAGCCTCCCACCTGCCTCGGCCTCCCAAGGTATTGGGATTACAGGTGTGAGCCATCTGGATCTATTTAATTCAGCCTTAAGCCCACACCAGCATTCCTGGGACTGTCCCCCCTCTACAGACTCTAAGCCATGTTTGAGATGATGAATTTCAAGTCGTGATTCAATCACTTAAGTGGTAAGTGACACAGAGGATATTACTAATCTTTTTTTTTTTTTTTTTGAGATGGACTCTTGCTCTGTCACCCATGCTGGAGTGCAGTGGCGCAATCTCGGCTCGCTGCAAGCTCTGCCTCCGGGGTTTATGCCATTCTCTTGCCTCAGCCTCCTGAGTGGCGCAATCTCGACTCACTGCAAGCTCTGCCTCCCGAGTTTATGCCATTCTCCTGCCTCAGCCTCCTGAGTAGCTAGGACTACAGGTGCCCACCACCACGTCCGGGTAATCTTTTTTTTTTTTTTTTTTTTTTCAAAGTAGAGATGGGGTTTCACCATGTTAGCCAGGATGGTCTCCATCTCCTGACCTCGTGATCCGCCCTTCTCGGCCTCCCAAAGTGCTGGGATTACAGGCGTGAGCCACCGCACCCGGCCTTTTTTTGGTATTTAAAAATATAACTTTATTGAGATATAATTTACATGCCATACAATTACCCATTAAAAGTGCATAATTCAATGGTTTAAATTTTGTGGTATTCACGGAGTTGGTGCAACCGTCAACACAGTCTAATTTTAGAATGTTGTCATCACTGCCCTTCAGAACCCCATGCCGACCAGCTGCCCATCACCACGATCCCCTCACTCTCCCGGCCCTAGGCAACCACTCATCTTCTGTCTCTAAACACCAGAAGGTACTTTTCAAAAATTGTGGCAAAATACACATAACATACATTTTAATATTTAAGAAGTTTTCTAAGGCCAGGTGCAGTGGGTCATGCCTGTAATCCCAGCACTTTGGGAGGCCGAGGTGTGCGGATCACCAGGTCAGGTGATCCAGACTGTCAGGCCTCTGAGCCCAAGCTAAGCCATCATATCCCCCTGTGGCCTGTATGTACACATCCAGATGGCCGGTTCCTGCCTTAACTGATGACATTCCACCACGAAAGAAATGAAAATGGCCTGTTCTTGCCTTAAGTGATGACATTATCTTATGAAATTCCTTCTCCTGGCTCATCCCGGCTCAAAAGCTCCCCTACTGAGCACCTTGTGAACCCCACTCCTGCCCGCCAGAGAACAACCCCCTTTTGACTGTAATTTTCCTTTACCTACCCAAATCCTATAAAACGGCCGCACTCCTATCTCCCTTTGCTGACTCTCTTTCTGGACTCAGCCCGCCTGCACCCAGGTGAAATAAACAGCCTTGTTGCTCACACAAATCCTGTTTGGTGGTCTCTTCACACGGACGTGAGTGAAATTTGGTGCCATAACTCGAATCAGGGGATCTTCCTTAGGAGATCAATCCCCTGTCCTCCTGCTCTTTGCTCCATGAGAAAGATCCACCTACGACCTCTCGTCCTCAGACCAACCAGCCCAAGGAACATCTCACCAATTTTAAATCCAGTAAGCAGCCTCTTTTTACTCTCTTCTCCAACCTCTCTCACTATCCCTCAACCACTTTCTCCTTTCCACTCTTCAATCTCTCCCTTCTCTTAATTTCAGTTCCTTTCCTTTTCTGGTAGAGACAGGAGACGCGCTTTATTCGTGGACCCAAAACTCCAGCGCCGGTCATGGACTCGGGAAGGCAGCCTTCCCTTGGTGTTTAATCACGCAGGGACACCTCTCTGATTATTCACCCACGTTTCAGAGGTGTCTGACCACATGGGGATGCCTGCCTTGGTCCTTCACCCTTAGTGGCAAGTACTGCTTTTCTGGGGGGGCAAGAACCCCCAACTCCTTCTCTGTGTCTCTACCCCTTCTCTGCTTTTCTGGGGGGGCAAGAACCCCCCAACCCCTTCTCCTTCACCCTTAGTGGCAAGTACCGCTTTTCTAGGGGGCAAGAATCCCCCGATCCCTTATTTCTGTGCCCTGACGTCTTATCTCTGCACCCCGATCCCTTATTTCCACACCCCGACCTCTTGTCTCTGCACCCCAATCCCTTACTTCTGTGCCCTGACCCCTTTCCCGCTTTTCTGGAAGGTAAGAACCCCTGAACCCCTTCCCTCCATGTCTCTACTCTCTCTTTTCTCTGTGCTTGCCTCCTTCAGTATGGGCAACCTTCCACCCTCCATTCCTCCTTCTTCTCCCTTAGCCTGTGTTCTTAAAAACCTAAAACCTCTTCAACTCACACCTGACCTAAAACCTAAATGCCTTATTTTCTTCTGCAATGCTGCTTGACCCCAATACAAACTTGACAGTGGTTCCAAATAGCCAGAAAACGGCACTTTCAATTTTTCCATCCTACAAGATCTAAATAATTCTTGTTGTAAAATGGGCAAATGGTCTGAGGTGCCTGACATCCAGGCATTCTTTTACACATCGGTCCCTCCCTAGTCTCTATGCCCAGTGCAACTCGTCCCAAATCTTCCTTCTTTCCCTCCCGCCTGTCCCGTCAGTCCCAACCCCAAGCATCGCTGAGTCTTTCTAATCTTCCTTTTCTACAGACCCATCTGACATCTCCCCTCCTCGCCAGGCCGAGCTGGGTCCCAATTCTTCCTCAGCCTCCGCTCCTCCACCCTATAATCCTTTTATCACCTCCCCTCCTCACACCCGGTCCAGCTTACAGTTCCATTCCATGACTAGCCCTCCCCCAACTGCCCAGCAATTTCCTCTTAAAAAGGTGGCTGAAGCTAAAGGCATAGTCAAGGTTAATGCTCCTTTTTCTTTATCTGACCTCTCCCAAATCAGATAGTGTTTAGGCTCTTTTTCATCAAATTTAAAAACACAGCCCAGTTCATGGCTCATTTGGCAGCAACCCTGAGACGCTTTACAGCCCTAGACCCTAAGTCAAAAGGCCGTCTTATTCTCAATATACATTTTATTACCAAATCTGCTCCCAACATTAAATAAAGCTCCAAAAATTAAATTCTGTCCCTCAAACCCCACAACAAGACTTAATTAACCTCGCCTTCAAGGTGTACAGTAATAGAGTAGAGGCAGCCAAATAGCAACATATTTCTGAGTTGCAATTCCTTGCCTCCACTCCAGTATCCAGATGAGACAAACCCCAGCCACATCTCCAGCACACGAGAACTCCAAACGCCTGAACCGCAGCTGCCAGGGGTTCCTCCAGAACCTCTTCCCCCAGGAGCTTGCTACAAGTACTGGAAATCTGGCCACTGGGCCAAGGAATGTCCACAGCCTGGGATTCCTCCTAAGCCGCATCCCATCTGTGCGGGACCCCACTGAAAATCGGACTGTTCAACTCACCTGGCAGCCACTCCCAGAGCAGCTAGAACTCTGGCCCAAGGCTCTCTGACTCCTTCCCAGATCTTCTCGGCTTAGCAGCTGAAGACTGACACTGCCCGATCCCGATCGCCTCAGAAGCCTACAGGACCATCACAGTCTAGGTAACTCTCACAGTGGAAGGTAAGCCCGTCCCCTTCTTAATCAATATGGAGGCTACCCACTCCACATTACCTTCTTTTCAAGGGCCTGTTTCCCTTGCCTCCATAACTGTTGTAGGTATTGACAGCTAGGCTTCTAAACCTCTTAAAACTCCCCAACTCTGGTGCCAACTTAGACAATACTCTTTCAAGCACTCCTTTTCAGTTATCCCCACCTGCCCAGTTCCCTTATTAGGCTGAGACACTTTAACTAAATTATCTGCTTCCCTGACTGTTCCTGGACTACAGCTATATCTCATTGCTGCCATTCTTCCCAATCCAAAGCCTCCTTTGCTTCCTCCTCTTGCATCCCCCCACCTTAACCCACAAGTATAGGATACCTCTACTCCCTCCTTGGTGACCGATCATGCACCCCTTACCATCTCATTAAAACCTAATCACCCTTACCCCACTCAACGCCAATATCCCATTCCGCAGCACGCTTTAAAAGGATTAAAGCCTGCTACAGCATGGCCTTTTAAAGCCTATAAACTCCCCTTACAATTCTCCCATTTTACCTGTCCTAAAACCAGACAAGGCTTACACATTAGTTCAGGATCTGCGCCTTATCAACCAAATTGTTTTGCCTATCCACCCCGTAGTGCCAAACCCATATACTCTCCTATCCTCAATACCTGCCTCTACAACCCATTATTCTGTTCTGGATCTCAAACGTGCTTTCTTTACTATTCCTTTGCACCCTTCATCCCAGCCTCTCTTCGCTTTCACTTGGACTGACCCTGACACCGATCAAGCTCAGCAAATTACCTGGGCTGTACTGCCGCAAAGCTT